>NC_000007.14:58169653-58272662 GCF_000001405.40 Homo sapiens
AGAATTCTCAGTAAATTCTTTGTGTTGTGTGCATTCAACTCACCGAGTGGAACGTCCCTTTAGACAGACCAGATTTGAAACACTCTTTTTGCGAAATTTGGAAGTGGAGATTTCAAGCCATTTGATGCCAACAATAGAAAGGGAAATATCTTCAAGTAAAAACTAGACAGAATCATTCTCAGAAAATTCTTTGTGATGTGTGCGTTCAACTCACATAGTTTAACCTTTCTTTTCATAGAGCAGTTTGGAAACACTCTGTTTGTAAAGTCTGCAAGTGGATATATAGACCGCATTGAGGCCTTCGTTGGAAACGGGATTTCTTCATTTCGTGCTAGACAGAAGAATTCTCAGTAACTTCTTTGTGTTGTGTGTATTCAACTCACAGAGTGGAACGTCCCTTTAGACAGAGCAGATTTGAAACACTCTTTTTGTGAATTTGCAAGGGGAGATTTCAAGCGACTTGATGCCAACTGTAGAAATGGAAATATCTTAAATAAAAACTAGACAGAATCATTCTCAGAAACTACTTTGTGATGTGTGCCTTCAACTCACAGAGTTTAACCATTCTTTTCTGAGAGCAGTTTAGAAACACTCTGCTTGTAATGTCTGCAAGTGGATATTTGGAACTCTTTGAGGCCTTCGTTGCAAACGGGATTTCTTCATTTATTGCTAGACTAAGGATAGTTCTCAGTAACTTTTTTGTGTTGTGTGTATTCAACACACAGTGTTGAACTTTGCTTTAGAGAGAGGAGATTTGAAACACTCTTGCTGTGGAATTTTCAGTTGGAGATTTCAAGCGATTTGAGGACAATTGCAGAAAAGGAAATATCTTCGTATAAAACCAGACAGAATCATTCTCAGAAAGTGTTTGTGATGTGTGCGTTCAACTCACAGAGTTTAGCATTTCTTCTAATAGAGCAGTCTGGAAACACACTGTTTGTAAAGTCTGCAAGTGGATATTTGGACCTCTTTGAGGCCTTCGTTGCAAACGGGATTTCTTCATTTCATGCTAGACTAAGAAGAGTTCTCAGTAACTTTTTTGTGTTGTGTGTATTCAACTCACAGAGTTGAACCTTGCTTTCGAGAGAGCAGATTTGAAACACTCTTGCTGTGGCATTCTCAGGTGGAGATTTCAAGCGATTTGAGGACAATTGCAGAAAATGAAATATCTTCGTATAAAAACCAGACAGAATCATTCTCAGAAAGTGCTTTGTGATGTGTGCATTGAAAACACAGAGTTTAGCCTTTCTTTTCATAGAGCAGTTTGGAAAAACTCTGTTTGTAAAGTCTGCAAGTGGATATATGGACCGCTTTGAGACCTTCGTTGGAAACGGGATTTCTTCGTTTAATGCTAGACAGAAGAATTCTCAATAACTTCTTTGTGTTGTGTGTATTCAACTCACAGATTGGAATGTCCCTTTAAACAGAGCAGATTTGAAACACTCTTTTTGTGGAATTTGCAAGTGGAGATTTCAAGCGATTTGATGCCAACAGTAGAAAAGGAAATATCTGCAAATAAAAATTAGACAGAATCATTCTCAGAAACTACTTTGTGATGTGTGCCTTCAACTCACAGAGTTTAACCTTTCTTTTCTTAGAGCAGTTTAGAAACACTCTGCTTGTTGTGTCTGCAAGTGGATATTTGGACCTCTTTGAGGCCTTCGTTGCAAACGGGGTTTCTTCCTTTAATGCTAGACTAAGAAGAGTTCTCAGTAACTTTCTTGTGTTGTGTGTATTCAACTCACAGAGTTGAACCTTGCTTTAGAGACAGCAGATTTGAGACACTCTTGCTGTGGCATTTTCAGGTGGAGATTTCAAGCGATTTGAGGACAATTGCAGAAAAGGAAATATCTTCGTATAATAACCAGACAGAATCATTCTCAAAAAGTGCTTTGTGATGTGTGCGTTCAACTCACAGAGTTTAACCTTTCTTTTCATAGAGGAGCTTGGAAACACCCTGTTTGTAAAGTCTGCAATTGGATATATGGACCTGTTTGAGGCTTCCGTTGGAAACGGGATTTCTTCATTGAATGCTAGACGGAAGAATTCTCAGTAAATACTTTGTGTTGTGTGCATTCAACTGACAGAGTGGAACGTCCCTTTAGACAGAGCAGATTTGAAACACTCTTTTTGCGGAATTTGCAAGTGGAGATTTCTAGCCATTTGATGCCAACAGTAGAAAGGGAAACATCTTCAAATAAAAACCAGACAGAATCATTCTCAGAAAATTCTTTGTGATGTGTGCGTTCAACTCACATAGTTTAACCTTTCTTTTCATAGACCAGTTTGGAAACACTCTGTTTGTAAAGTCTGCAAGTGGATATATGGACCGCATTGAGGCCTTCGTTGGAAACGGGATTTCTTCATTTCATGCTAGACAGAAGAATTCTCAGTAACTTCTTTGTGCTGTGTGTATTCAACTCACAGAGTGGAACGTCCCTTTGCACAGAGCAGATTTGAAACACTCTTTTTGTGGAGTTTGCAAGTGGAGATTTCAAGCGATTTGATGCCAACAGTATAAAAGGAAATATCTTCAAATAAAAACTAGACAGAATCATTCTCAGAAACTACTTTGTGATGTGTGCCTTCAACTCACAGAGTTTAACCTTTCTTTTCATAGAGCAGTTTAGAAACACTCTGCTTGTTATGTCTGCAAGTGGATATTTGGACCTCTTTGAGGCCTTCGTTGCAAACGGGGTTTCTTCCTTTAATGCTAGACTAAAGAGTTCTCAGTAACTTTTTTGTGTTGTGTTTATTCAACTCACAGAGTTGAACCTTGCTTTAGAGAGAGCAGATTTGAAACACTCTTGCTGTGGAATTTTCAGGTGGAGATTTCAAGCGATTTGAGGACAATTGCAGAAAAGGAAATATCTTCGTATAATAACCAGAGAGAATCATTCTCAGAAAGTGCTTTGTGATGTGTGCGTTCCACTCACAGAGTTTAACCTTTCTTTTCATAGAGGAGTTTGGAAACACACTGTTTGTAAACTCTGCAAGTGGATATATGGACCTGTTTGAGGCCTTCGTTGGAAACGGGATTTCTTCATTGAATGCTAGACGGAAGAATTCTCAGTAAATTCTTTGTGTTGTGTGCATTCAACTCACAGAGTGGAACGTCCCTTTAGACAGAGCAGATTTGAAACACTCTTTCTGCGGAATTTGCAAGTGGAGATTTCTAGCCATTTGATGCCAACAGTAGAAAGGGAAATATCTTCAAATAAAAACCAGACAGAATCATTCTCAGAAAATTCTTTGTGATGTGTGCGTTCAACTCACATAATTTAACCTTTCTTTTCATAGAGCAGTTTGGAAACACTCTGTTTGTAAAGTGTGCAAGTGGATATATGGACCGCATTGAAGCCTTCGTTGGAAACGGGATTTCTTCATTTCATGCTAGACAGAAGAATTCTCAGTAACTTCTTTGTGCTGTGTGTATTCAACTCACAGAGTGGAACGTCCCTTTACACAGAGCAGATTTGAAACACTCTTTTTGTGGAATTTGCAAGTGGAGATTTCAAGCGATTTGATGCCAACAGTAGAAAAGGAAATATCTTCAAATAAAAACTAGACAGAATCATTCTCAGAAACTACTTTGTGATGTGTGCCTTCAACTCGCAGAGTTTAACCTTTCTTTTCTTAGAGCAGTTTAGAAACACTCTGCTTGTTATGTCTGCAAGTGGATATTTGGACCTCTTTGAGGCCTTCGTTGCAAACGGTATTTCTTCCTTTAATGCTAGACTAAGAAGAGTTCTCAGTAACTTTTTTGTGTTGTGTGTATTCAACTCACAGAGTTGAACCTTGCTTTAGAGAGAGCAGATTTGAAACAATCTTGCTGTGGCATTTTCAGGTGCAGATTTCAAGCGATTTGAGGACAATTGCAGAAAAGGAAATATCTTCGTATAATAACCAGACAGAATCATTCTCAGAAAGTGCTTTGTGATGTGTGCGTTCAAATCACAGAGTTTAACCTTTCTTTTCATAGAGGAGTTTGGAAACACACTGTTTGTAAAGTCTGCAAGTGGATATATGGACCTGTTTGAGGCCTTCGTTGGAAACGGGATTTTATCATATAATGCTAGACGGAAGAATTCTCAGTAAACTCTTTGTGTTGTGTGCATTCAACTCACTGAGTGGAACGTCCCTTTAGACAGAGCAGATTTGAAACACTCTTTTTGCGAAATTTGGAAGTGGAGATTTCAAGCCATTTGATGCCAACAATAGAAAGGGAAATATCTTCAAATAAAAACTAGACAGAATCATTCTCAGAAAATTCTTTGTGATGTGTGCGTTCAACTCACATAGTTTAACCTTTCTTTTCATAGAGCAGTTTGGAAACACTCTGTTTGTAAAGTCTGCAAGTTGATATATGGACCGCATTGAGGCCTTCGTTGGAAACGGGATTTCTTCATTTCATGCTAGACAGAAGAATTCTCAGTAACTTCTTTGTGCTGTGTGTATTCAACTCACAGAGTGGAACGTCCCTTTGCACAGAGCAGATTTGAAACACTCTTTTTGTGGAATTTGCAAGTGGAGATTTCAAGCGATTTGATGCCAACAGTAGAAAAGGAAATATCTTCAAATAAAAACTAGACAGAACCATTCTCAGAAACTACTTTGTGATGTGTGCCTTCAACTCACAGAGTTTAACCTTTCTTTTCTTAGAGCAGTTTAGAAACACTCTGCTTGTTATGTCTGCAACTGGATATTTGGACCTCTTTGAGGCCTTCGTTGCAAACGGGGTTTCTTCCTTTCATGCTAGACTAAGAAGAGTTCTCAGTAACTTTTTTGTGTTGTGTGTATTCAATTCACAGTGTTGAACCTTGCTTTAGAGGGAGCAGATTTGAAACACACTTGCTGTGCAATTTTCAGGTGGAGATTTCAAGCGATTTGAGGACAATTGCAGAAAAGGAAATATCTCCGTATAAAAACCAGACAGAATCATTCTCAGAAAGTGCTTTGTGATGTGGGCGTTCAACTCACAGAGTTTAGCCTTTCTTCTCATAGAGCAGTTTGGAAACACACTGTCTGTAAAGTCTGCAAGTGGATATTTGGACCTCTTTGACGCCTTCGTTGGAAACGGGATTTTTTCATATAATGCTAGACGGAAGAATTCTCAGTAAATTCTTTGTGTTGTGGGCATTCAACTGACAGAGTGGAACGTCCCTTAAGACAGAGCAGATTTGAAACACTCTTTTTGCGGAATTTGCAAGTGGAGATTTCTAGCCATTTGATGCCAACAGTAGAAAGGGAAATATCTTCAAATAAAAACCAGACAGAATCATTCTCAGAAAATTCTTTGTGATGTGTGCGTTCAACTCACATAGTTTAACCTTTCTTTTCATAGTGCAGTTTGGAGACACTCCGTTTGTAAAGTCTGCAAGTGGATATATGGACCGCTTTGAGGCCTTCGTTGGAAACGGGATTTCTTCATTTCATGCTAGTCAGAAGAATTCTCAGTAAATTCTTTGTGTTGTGTGCATTGAACTCACAGAGTGGAACGTCCCTTTAGACTGAGCAGATTTGAAACACTCTTTTTGTGGAATTTGCAAGTGGAGATTTCAAGCGATTTGATGCCAACAGTAGAAAAGGAAATATCTTCAAATAAAAACTAGACAGAATCATTCTCAGAAACTACTTTGTGATGTGTGCCTTCAACTCACAGGGTTTAACCTTTCTTTTCTTAGAGCAGTTTAGAAACACTCTGCTTGTTATGTCTGCAAGTGGATATTTGGACCTCTTTGAGGCCTTCGTTGCAAACGGGGTTTCTTCCTTTCATGCTAGACTAAGAAGAGTTCTCAGTAACTTTTTTGTGTTGTGTGTATTCAACTCACAGAGTTGAACCTTGCTTTAGAGAGAGCAGATTTGAAACACTCTCGCTGTGGCATTTTCAGGTGGAGATTTCAAACGATTTGAGGACAATTGCAGAAAAGGAAATACCTTCGTATAATAACCAGACAGAATCATACTCAGAAAGTGCTTTGTGATGTGTACGTTGAACTCAGAGAGTTTAAACTTTCTTTTCATAGAGCAGTTTGGAAACACACTGTTTGTAAAGTCTGCAAGTGGATATTTGGACCTGTTTGAGGCCTTCGTTGGAAACGGGATTTTTTCATATAATGCTAGACAGAAGAATTCTCAGTAAACTCTTTTTGTTGTGTGCATTCAACTCACTGAGTGGAACCGTCCCTTTAGACAGAGCAGATTTGAAACACTCTTTTTGCGAAATTTGGAAGTGCAGATTTCAAGCCATTTGATGCCAACAATAGAAAGGGAAATATCTTCAAATAAAAACTAGACAGAATCATTCTCAGAAAATTCTTTGTGACGTGTGCGTTCAACTCACATAGTTTAACCTTTCTTTTCATAGAGCAGTTTGGAAACACTCTGTTTGTAAAGTCTGCAAGTGGATATATGGACCGCATTGAGGCCTTTGTTGGAAACGGGATTTCTTCATTTCATGCTAGACAGAAGAATTCTCAGTAACTTCTCTGTGCTGTGTGTATTCAACTCACAGACTGGAACGTCCGTTTGCACAGAGCAGATTTGAAACACTCTTTTTGTGGAATTTGCAAGTGGAGATTTCAAGCGATTTGATGCCAACAGTAGAAAAGGAAATATCTTCAAATAAAAACTAGACAGAATCATTCTCAGAAACTACTTTGTGATGTGTGCCTTCAACTCACAGAGTTTAACCTTTCTTTTCTTAGAGCAGTTTAGAAACACTCTGCTTGTTATGTCTGCAAGTGGATATTTGGACCTACTTTGAGGCCTTCATTGCAAACGGGGTTTCTTCGTTTAATGCTAGACTAAGAAGAGTTCTCAGTAACTTTTTTGTGTTGTGTGTATTCAACTCACAGCGTTGAACCTTGCTTTAGAGAGAGCAGATTTGAAACACTCTTGATGTCGCATTTTCAGGTGGAGATTTCAAGCGATTTGAGGACAATTGCAGAAAAGGAAATATCTTCGTATAATAACCAGACAGAATCATTCTCAGAAAGTGCTTTGTGATGTGTGCGTTCAACTCACAGAGTTTAACCTTTCTTTTCATAGAGGAGTTTGGAAACACACTGTTTGTAACGTCTGCAAGTGGATATATGGACCTGTTTGAGGCCTTCGTTGGAAACGGGATTTCTTCATTGAATGCTAGACGGAAGAATTCTCAGTAAATTCTTTGTGTTGTGTGCATTCAACTCACAGAGTGGAACGTCCCTTTAGACAGAGCAGATTTGAAACACTCTTTTTGCGGAAGTTGCAAGTGGAGATTTCTAGCCATTTGATGCCAACAGTAGAAAGGGAAATATCTTCAAATAAAAACTAGACAGAATCATTCTCAGAAAGTGCTTTGTGATGTGTGCGTTCAACTCACAGAGTTTAACCTTTCTTTTCATAGAGGAGTTTGGAAACACACTGTTTGTAAAGTCTGCAATTGGATATATGGACCTGTTTGAGGCCTTCGTTGGAAACGGGATTTCTTCATTGCATGCTAGACGGAAGAATTCTCAGTAAATTCTTTTTGTTGTGTGCATTCAACTCACAGAGTGGAACGTCCCTTTAGACAGAGCAGATTTGAAACACTCTTTTTGTGGAATTTGCAAGTGGAGATTTGTAGCCATTTGATGCCAACTGTAGAAAGGGAAATATCTTCAAATAAAAACTAGACAGAAATCATTCTCAGAAAATTCTTTGTGATGTGTGCGTTCAGCTCACATAGTTTAACCTTTCTTTTCATAGAGCAGTTTCGAAACACACTGTTTGTAAAATCTGCAAGTGGATATATGTACCGCTTTCAGGCATTCCTTGGAAACGGGATTTCTTCATTGAATGCTAGACAGAAGAATTCTCAGTAACTTCTTTGTGCTGTGTGTATTCAACTCACAGAGTGGAACGTCCCTTTACACAGAGCAGATTTGAAACACTCTTTTTGTGGAGTTTGCAAGTGGAGATTTCAAGCGATTTGATGCCAACAGTAGAAAAAGAAATATCTTCAAATAAAAACTAGACAGAATCATTCTCAGAAACTACTTTGTGATGTGTGCCTTCAACTCACAGAGTTTAACCTTTCTTTTCTTAGAGCAGTTTAGAAACATTCTGCTTGTTATGTCTGCAGGTGGATATTTGGACCTCTTTGAGGCCTTCGTTGCAAACGGGGTTTCTTCCTTTAATGCTAGACTAAGAAGAGTTCTCAGTAACTTTTTTGTGTTGTGTGTATTCAACTCACAGAGTTGAACCTTGCTTTAGAGAGAGCAGATTTGAAACACTCTTGCTGTGGCATTTTCAGGTGGAGATTTCAAGCGATTTGAGGACAATTGCAGAAAAGGAAATATCTTCGTATAACAACCAGACAGAATCATTCTCAGAAAGTGCTTTGTGATGTGTGCGTTCCACTCACAGAGTTTAACCTTTCTTTTCATAGAGGAATTTGGAAACACACTGTTTGTAAAGTCTGCAAGTGGATATATGGACCTGTTTGAGGCCTTCGTTGGAAACGGGATTTCTTCATTGAATGCTAGACGGAAGAATTCTCAGTAAATTCTTTGTGTTGTGTGCATTCAACTCACAGAGTGGAACGTCCCTTTAGACAGAGCAGATTTGAAACACACTTTTTGCGGAATTTGCAAGTGGAGATTTCTAGCAATTTGATGCCAACAGTAGAAAGGGAAATATCTTCAAATAAAAACCAGACAGAATCATCCTCAGAAAATTCTTTGTGATGTGTGCGTTCAACTCACATAGTTTAAACTTTCTTTTCATAGACCAGTTTGGAAACACTCTGTTGGTAATGTCTGCAAGTGGATATATGGACCGCATTGAGGCCTTCGTTGGAAACGGGATTTCTTAATTTCATGCTAGACAGAAGAATTCTAAGTAACTTCTTTGTGCTGTGTGTACTCAACTCACAGAGTGCAACGTCCCTTTGCACAGAGCAGATTTGAAACACTCTTTTTGTGGAGTTTGCAAGTGGAGATTTCAAGCGATTTGATGCCAACAGTAGAAAAGGAAATATCTTCAAATAAAAACTAGACAGAATCATTCTCAGAAAATTCTTTGTGATGTGTGCCTTCAACTCACAGTGTTTAACCTTTCTTTTCCTAGAGCAGTTTAGAAACGCTCTGCTTGTTATGTCTCCAAGTGGATATTTGAACCTCTTTGAGGCCTTCGTTGCAAACGGGATTTCTTCCTTTAATGCTAGACTAAGAAGAGTTCTCAGTAACTTTTTTGTGTTGTGTGTATTCAACTCACAGAGTTGAACCTTGCTTTAGAGAGAGCAGATTTGAAACACTCTTGCTGTGGCATTTTCAGGTGGAGATTTCAAGCGATTTGAGGACAATTGCAGAAAAAGAAATATCTTCGTATAATAACCAGACAGAATCATTCTCAGAAAGTGCTTTGTGATGTGTGCGTTCCACTCACAGAGTTTAACCTTTCTTTTCATAGAGGAGTTTGGAAACACACTGTTTGTAAAGTCTGCAAGTGGATATATGGACCTGTTTGAGGCCTTCGTTGGAAACGGGATTTCTTCATTGACTGCTAGACGGAAGAATTCTCAGTAACTTCTTTGTGTTGTGTGCATTCAACTCACAGATTGGAACGTCCCTTTACACAGAGCAGATTTGAAACACTCTTTTTGTGGAATTTGCAAGTGGAGATTTCAAGCGATTTGAGGCCAACAGTAGAAAAGGAAATAGCTGCAAATAAAAACTAGACAGAATCATTCTCAGAAAGTGCTTTGTGATGTGTGCCTTCAACTCACATAGTTTAACCTTTCTTTTCATAGAGCAGTTTGGAAACACTCTGTTGGTAATGTCTGCAAGTGGATATATGGACCGCATTGAGGCCTTCGTTGGAAACGGGATTTCTTCATTTCATGCTAGACAGAAGAATTCTCAGTAACTTCTTTGTGCTGTGTGTATTCAACTCACAGAGTGCAACGTCCCTTTACACAGAGCAGATTTGAAACACTCTTTTTGTGGAGTTTGCAAGTGGAGATTTCAAGCGATTTGATGCCAACAGTAGAAAAGGAAATATCTTCAAATAAAAACTAGACAGAATCATTCTCAGAAACTACTTTGTGATGTGTGCCTTCAACTCACAGAGTTTAACCTTTCTTTTCTTAGAGCAGTTTAGAAACACTCTGCTTGTTATGTCTGCAAGTGGATATTTGGACCTCTTTGAGGCCTTCGTTGCAAACGGGGTTTCTTCCTTTAATGCTAGACTAAGAAGAGTTCTCAGTAACTTTTTTGTGTTGTGTGCATTCAACTCACAGAGTGGAACGTCCCTTTAGACAGAGCAGATTTGAAACACTCTTTTTGCGGAAGTTGCAAGTGGAGATTTCTAGCCATTTGATGCCAACAGTACAAAGGGAAATATCTTCAAATAAAAACTAGACAGAATCATTCTCAGAAAGTGCTTTGTGATGTGTGCGTTCAACTCACAGTGTTTAACCTTTCTTTTCATAGAGGAGTTTGGAAACACACTGTTTGTAAAGTCTGCAATTGGATATATGGACCTGTTTGAGGCCTTCGTTGGAAACGGGATTTCTTCATTGAATGCTAGACGGAAGAATTCTCAGTAAATTCTTTGTGTTGTGTGCATTCAACTGACAGAGTGGAACGTCCCTTTAGACAGAGCAGATTTGAAACACTCTTTTTGCGGAATTTGCAAGTGGAGATTTCTAGCCATTTGATGCCAACAGTAGAAAGGGAAATATCTTCAAATAAAAACCAGACAGAATCATTCTCAGAAAATTCTTTGTGATGTGTGCGTTCAACTCACATAGTTTAACCTTTCTTTTCATAGAGCAGTTTGGAGACACTCCGTTTGTAAAGTCTGCAAGTGGATATCTGGACCGCTTTGAGGCCTTCGTTGAAAACGGGATTTCTTCATTTCATGCTAGACAGAAGAATTCTCAGTAACTTCTTTGTGCTGTGCGTATTCAACTCACAGAGTGGAACGTCCCTTTACACAGAGCAGATTTGAAACACTCTTTTTGTGGAGTTTGCAAGTGGAGATTTCAAGCGATTTGATGCCAACAGTAGAAAAGGAAATATCTTCAAATAAAAACTAGACAGAATCATTCTCAGAAACTTCTTTGTGATGTGTGCCTTCAACTCACAGAGTTTAACCTTTCTTTTCTTAGAGCAGTTTAGAAACACTCTGCTTCTTATGTCTGCAAGTGGATATTTGGACCTCTTTGAGGCCTTCGTTGCAAACGGGATTTCTTCCTTTAATGCTAGACTAAGAAGAGTTCTCAGTAACTTTTTTGTGTTGTGTGTATTCAACTCACAGAGTTAAACCTTGCTTTAGAGAGAGCAGATTTGAAACACTCTTGCTGTGGCATTTTCAGGTGGAGATTTCAAGCGATTTGAGGACAATTGCACAAAAGGAAATATCTTCGTATAATAACCAGACAGAATCATTCTCAGAAAGTGCTTTGTGATGTGTGCGTTCCACTCACAGAGTTTAACCTTTCTTTTCATAGAGGAGTTTGGAAACACACTGTTTGTAAAGTCTGCAAGTGGATATATGGACCTGTTTGAGGCCTTCGTTGGAAACGGGATTTCTTCATTGAATGCTAGACGGAAGAATTCTCAGTAAATTCTTTGTGTTGTGTGCATTCAACTCACAGAGTGGAACGTCCCTTTAGACAGAGCAGATTTGAAACACTCTTTTTGCGGAATTTGCAAATGGAGATTTCTAGCCATTTGATGCCAACAGTAGAAAGGGAAATATCTTCAAATAAAAACCAGGCAGAATCATTCTCAGAAAATTCTTTGTGATGTGTGCATTCAACTCACATAGTTTAACCTTTCTTTTCATAGAGCAGTTTGGAAACACTCTGTTTGTAAAGTCTGCAAGTGGATATATGGACCGCATTGAGGCCTTCGTTGGAAACGGGATTTACTTCATTTCATGCTAGACAGAAGAATTCTCAGTAACTTCTTTGTGCTGTGTGTATTCAACTCACAGAGTGGAACGTCCCTTTGCACAGAGCAGATTTGAAACACTCTTTTTGTGGAGTTTGCAAGTGGAGATTTCAAGCGATTTGATGCCAACAGTAGAAAAGGAAATATCTTCCTATAAAAACTAGACAGAATCATTCTCAGAAACTACTTTGTGATGTGTGCCTTCAACTCACAGAGTTTAACCTTTCTTTTCTTAGAGCAGCTTAGAAACACTCTGCTTGTTATGTCTGCAAGTTGATATTTGGACCTCTTTGAGGCCTTCGTTGCAAACGGGGTTTCTTCCTTTCATGCTAGACTAAGAAGAGTTCTCAGTAACTTTTTTGTGTTGTGTGTATTCAACTCACAGAGTTGAACCCTGCTTTAGAGAGAGCAGATTTGAAACACTCTTGCTGTGGCATTTTCAGGTGGAGATTTCAAGCGATTTGAGGACAATTGCAGAAAAGGAAATATCTTCGTATAATAACCAGACAGAATCATTCTCAGAAAGTGCTTTGTGATGTGTGCGTTCAACTCACAGAGTTTAACCTTTCTTTTCATAGAGGAGTTTGGAAACACACTGTTTGTAAAGTCTGCAAGTGGATATATGGACCTGTTTGAGGCCTTCGTTGGAAACGGGATTTCTTCATTGAATGCTAGACGGAAGAATTCTCAGTAAATTCTTTCTGTTGTGTGCATTCAACTCACAGAGTGGAACGTCCCTTTAGACAGAGCAGATTTGAAACACTCTTTTTGCGGAATTTGCAAGTGGAGATTTCTAGCCATTTGATGCCAACAGTAGAAAGGGAAACATCTTCAAATAAAAACCAGACAGAATCATTCTCAGAAAGTGCTTTGTGATGTGTGCGTTCAACTCACAGAGTTTAACCTTTCTTTTCATAGAGCAGTTTGGAAACACTCTGTTTGTAAAGTCTGCAAGTGCATATATGGACCGCATTGAGGCCTTCGTTGGAAACGGGATTTCTTCATTTCATGCTAGACAGAAGAATTCTCCCTAAATTCTTTGTGTTGTGTGCATTCAACTCACAGAGTGGAACCTCCCTTTAGACAGAGCAGATTTGAAACACTCTTTTTGTGGAATTCGCAAGTGGAGATTTCAAGCGATTTGATGCCAACAGTAGAAAAGGAAATATCTTCAAATAAAAACTAGACAGAATCATTCTCAGGAACTACTTTGTGATGTGTGCCTTCAACTCACAGAGTTTAACCTTTCTTTTCTTAGAGCAGTTTAGAAACACTCTGCTTGTTATGTCTTCAAGTGGATATTTGGACCTCTTTGAGGCCTTCGTTGCAAACGGGGTTTCTTCCTTTAATGCTAGACTAAGAAGAGTTCTCAGTAACTTTTTTGTGTTGTGTGTATTCAACTCACAGAGTTGAACCTTGCTTTAGAGAGAGCAGATTTGAAACACTCTTGCTGTGGAATTTTCAGGTGGAGATTTCAAGCGATTTGAGGACAATTGCAGAAAAGGAAATATCTTCGTATAATAACCAGACAGAATCATTCTCAGAAAGTGCTTTGTGATGTGTGCGTTCAACTCACAGAGTTTAACCTTTCGTTTCATAGAGGAGCTTGGAAACACACTGTTTGTAAAGTCTGCAATTGGATATATGGACCTGTTTGAGGCCTCCGTTGGAAACGGGATTTCTTCATTGAATGCTAGACGGAAGAATTCTCAGTAACTTCTTTGTGCTGTGTGTATTCAACTCACAGAGTGCAACGTCCCTTTACACAGAGCAGATTTGAAACACTCTTTTTGCAGAATTTGCAAGTGGAGATTTCTAGCCATTTGATGCCAACGGTAGAAAGGGAAATATCTTCAAATAAAAACTAGACAGAATCATCCTCAGAAAATTCTTTGTGATGTGTGCGTTCAACTCACATAGTTTAACCTTTCTTTTCATAGACCAGTTTGGAAACACTCTGTTGGTAATGTCTGCAAGTGGATATATGGACCGCTTTGAGGACTTCGTTGGAAACGGGATTTCTTCATTTCATGCTAGACAGAAGAATTCTCAGTAACTTCTTTGTGCTGTGTGTATTCAACTCACAGAGTGGAACGTCCCTTTGCACAGAGCAGATTTGAAACACTCTTTTTGTGGAGTTTGCAAGTGGAGATTTCAAGCGATTTGATGCCAACAGTAGAAAAGGAAATTCTTCAAATAAAAACTAGACAGAATCATTCTCAGAAACTACTTTGTGATGTGTGCCTTTAACTCACAGAGTTTAACCTTTCTTTTCTTAGAGCAGTTTAGAAACACTCTGCTTGTTATGTCTGCAAGTGGATATTTGGACCTCTTTGAGGCCTTTGTTGCAAACGGGGTTTCTTCCTTTAATGCTAGACTAAGAAGAGTTCTCAGTAACTTTTTTGTGTTTTGTGTATTCAACTCACAGAGTTGAACCTTGCTTTAGAGAGAGCAGATTTGAAACACTCTTGCTGTGGCATTTTCAGGTGGAGATTTCAAGCGATTTGAGGACAATTGCAGAAAAGGAAATATCTTCGTATAATAACCAGACAGAATCATTCTCAGAAAGTGCTTTGTGATGTGTGCGTTCAACTCACAGAGTTTAACCTTTCTTTTCATAGAGGAGTTTGGAAACACACTGTTTGTAAAGTCTGCAATTGGATATATGGACCTGTTTGAGGCCTCCGTTGGAAACGGGATTTCTTCATTGAATGCTAGACGGAAGAATTCTCAGTAAATTCTTTGTGTTGTGTGCATTCAACTCAGAGAGTGGAACGTCCCTTTAGACAGAGCAGATTTGAAACACTCTTTTTGCGGAATTTGCAAGTGGAGATTTCTAGCCATTTGATGCCAACAGTAGAAAGGGAAATATCTTCAAATAAAAACCAGACAGAATCATTCTCAGAAAATTCTTTGTGATGTGTGCGTTCAACTCTCATAGTTTAACCTTTCTTTTCATAGAGCAGTTTGGAAACACTCTGTTTGTAAAGTCTGCAAGTGGATATATGGACCGCATTCAGGCCTTCGTTGGAAACGGGATTTCTTCATTTCATGCTAGACAGAAGAATTCTCAGTAACTTCTTTGTGCTGTGTGTATTCAACTCACAGAGTGGAACGTCCCTTTACACAGAGCAGATTTGAAACACTCTTCTTGTGGAATTTGCATGTGGAGATTTCAAGCGATTTGATGCCAACAGTAGAAATGTAAATATCTTCAAATAAAAACTAGACAGAATAATTCTCAGAAACTTCTTTGTGAAGTGTGCCTTCAACTCACAGATTTTAACCTTACTTTTCTTAGAGCAGTTTAGAAACACTCTGCTTGTTATGTCTGCAAGTGGATATTTGGACCTCTTTGAGGCCTTCGTTACAAACGGGGTTTCTCCATTTAATGCTAGACTAAGAAGAGTTCTCAGTAACTTTTTTGTGTTGTGTGTATTCAACTCACAGAGTTGAACCTTGCTTTAGAGAGAGCAGATTTGAAACACTCTGGCTGTGGCATTTTCAGGTGGAGATTTCAAGCGATTTGAGGACAATTGCAGAAAAGGAAATATCTTCCTATAATAACCAGACAGAATCATTCTCAGAAAGTGCTTTGTGATGTGTGCGTTCAACTCACAGAGTTTAACCTTTCTTTTCATAGAGGAGTTTGGAAACACACTGTTTGTAAAGTCTGCAATTGGATATATGGACCTGTTTGAGGCCTTCTTTGGAAACGGGATTTCTTCATTGAATGCTAGACGGAAGAATTCTCAGTAAATTCTTTGTGTTGTGTGCATTCAACTCACAGAGTGGAACGTCCCTTTAGACAGAGCAGATTTGAAACACTCTTTTTGCGGAATTTGCAAGTGGTGATTTCTAGCCATTTGATGCCAACAGTAGAAAGGGAAATATCTTCAAATAAAAACCAGACAGAATCATTCTCAGAAAATTCTTTGTGATGTGTGCGTTCAACTCACATAGTTTTACCTTTCTTTTCATAGAGCAGTTTGGAAACACTCTGTTTGTAAAGTCTGCAAGTGGATATATGGACCGCATTGAGGCCTTCGTTGGAAACGGGATTTCTTCATTTCATGCTAGACAGAAGAATTCTCAGTAACTTCTTTGTGCTGTGTGTATTCAACTCACAGAGTGGAACGTCCCTTTGCACAGAGCAGATTTGAAACACTGTTTTTGTGGAATTTGCAAGTGGAGATTTCAAGCGATTTGATGCCAACAGTAGAAAAGGAAATATCTTCAAATAAAAACTAGACAGAATCATTCTCAGAAACTACTTTGTGATGTGTGCCTTCAACTCACAGAGTTTAACCTTTCTTTTCTTAGAGCAGTTTAGAAACACTCTGCTTGTTATGTCTGCAAGTGGATATTTGGACCTCTTTGAGGCCTTCGTTGCAAACGGGGTTTCTTCCTTTAATGCTAGACTAAGAAGAGTTCTCAGTAACTTTTTTGTGTTGTGTGTATTCAACTCACAGAGTTGAACCTTGCTTTAGAGAGAGCAGATTTGAAACACTCTTGCTGTGGCATTTTCAGGTGGAGATTTCAAGCGTTTTGAGGACAATTGCAGAAAAGGAAATATCTTCGTATAATAACCAGACAGAATCATTCTCAGAAAGTGCTTTGTGATGTGTGCGTTCCACTCACAGAGTTTAACCTTTCTTTTCATAGAGGAGTTTGGAAACACACTGTTTGTAAAGTCTGCAAGTGGATATATGGACCGCATTGAGGCCTTCGTTGGAAACGGGATTTCTTCATTTCATGCTAGACAGAAGAATTCTCAGTAACTTCTTTGTGTTGTGTGCATTCAACTCACAGAGTGGAACGTCCCTTTAGACAGAGCAGATTTGAAACACTCTTTTTGCGGAATTTGCAAGTGGAGATTTCTAGCCATTTGATGCCAACAGTAGAAAGGGAAATATCTTCAAATAAAAACCAGACAGAATCATCCTCAGAAAATTCTTTGTGATGTGTGCGTTCAACTCACATAGTTTAACCTTTCTTTTCATAGAGCAGTTTGGAAACACTCTGTTGGTAATGTCTGCAAGTGGATATATGGACCGCTTTTAGGCCTTCGTTGGAAACAGGATTTCTTCATTTCATGCTAGACAGAAGAGTTCTCAGTAACTTTTTTGTGTTGTGTGTATTCAACTCACAGAGTTGAACCTTGCTTAAGAGAGAGCAGATTTGAAACACTCTTGCTGTGGCATTTTCAGGTGGAGATTTCAAGCGATTTGAGGACAATTGCAGAAAATGAAATATCTTCGTATAAAAACCAGACAGAATCATTCTCAGAAAGTGCTTTGTGATGTGTGCGTTGAAAACACAGAGTTTAGCCTTTCTTTTCATAGAGCAGTTTGGAAAAACTCTGTTTGTAAAGTCTGCAAGTGGATATATGGACCGCTTTGAGACCTTCGTTGGCAACGGGATTTCTTCGTTTAATGCTAGACAGAAGAATTCTCAGTAACTTCTTTGAGTTGTGTGTATTCAACTCACAGAGTTGAACCTTGCTTTAGAGAGAGCAGATTTGATATACTCTTGCTGTGGAATTTTCAGGTGGAAATTTCAAGCGATTTGAGGACAATTGCAGAAAAGCAAATATCTTCGTATAAAAACCAGACAGAATCACTCTCAGAAAGTGCTTTGTGATGTCTGCGTTCAACTCACAGAGTTTAACCTTTCTTTCCATAGAGGAGTTTGGAAACACACTGTTTGTAAAGTCTGCAATTGGATATATGGACCTGTTTGAGGCCTTCGTTGGAAACGGGATTTCTTCATTGAATGCTAGACGGAAGAATTCTCAGTAAATTCTTTGTGTTGTGTGCATTCAACTCACAGAGTGTAACGTCCCTTTAGACAGAGCAGATTTGAAACACTCTTTTTGCGGAATTTGCAAGTGGAGATTTCTAGCCATTTGATGCCAACAGTAGAAAGGGAAATATCTTCAAATAAAAACCAGACAGAATCATTCTCAGAAAATTCTTTGTGATGTGTGCATTCAGCTCACATAGTTTAACCTTTCTTTTCATAGAGCAGTTTCGAAACACACTGGTTGTAAAATCTGCAAGTGGATATATGTACCGCTTTCAGGCATTCCTTGGAAACGGGATTTCTTCATTGAATGCTAGACAGAAGAATTCTCAGTAACTTCTTTGTGCTGTGTGTATTCAACTCACAGAGTGGAACGTCCCTTTACACAGAGCAGATTTGAAACACTCTTTTTGTGGAGTTTGCAAGTGGAGATTTCAAGCGATTTGATGCCAACAGTAGAAAAGGAAATATGCTTCAAATAAAAACTAGACAGAATCATTTAGAAACTACTTTGTGATGTGTGCCTTCAACTCACAGAGTTTAACCTTTCTTTTCATAGAGCAGTTTAGAAACACTCTGCTTGTTATGTCTGCAAGTGGATATTTGGACCTCTTTGAGGCCTTCGTTGCAAACGGGGTTTCTTCCTTTAATGCTAGACTAAGAAGAATTCTCAGTAAGTTCTTTCTGTTGTGTGTATTCAACTCACAGATTGGAACGTCCCCTTACACAGAGCAGATTTGAAACACTCTTTTTGTGGAATTTGCAAGTGGAGATTTCAAGCGATTTGATGCCAACAGTAGAAAAGGAAATATCTTCAAATAAAAACTACACAGAATCATTCTCAGAATGTGCTTTGTGATGTGTGCATTCAACTCACAGAGTTTAACCTTTCTTTTCATAGAGGAGTTTGGAAACACACTGTTTGTAAAGTCTGCAATTGGATATATGGACCTGTTTGAGGCCTTCGTTGGAAACGGGATTTCTTCATTGAATGCTAGATGGAATCATTCTCAGAAAGTGCTTTGTGATGTGTGCGTTCAACTCACAGAGTTTAACCTTTCTTTTCATAGAGGAGTTTGGAAACACACTGTTTGTAAAATCTGCAAGTGCATATTTGGACCTCTTTGAGGCCTTCATTGGATATGGGATTTTTTCATATATTGCTAGACGGAATCCTTCTCAGAAAATTCTTTGTGATGTGTGCGTTTAGCTCACATAGTTTAACCTTTGTTTTCATAGAGCAGTTTGGAAACACACTGTTTGAAAAATCTGCAAGTGGATAAAAGGACCGCTTTGAGGCATTCGTTGGAAACGGGATTTCTTCATTTAATGCTAGTCAGAAGAATACTCAGTAACTTCTTTGTGCTGTGTGTATTCAACTCACAGAGTGGAACGTCCCTTTACACAGAGCAGATTTGAAACACTCTTTTTGTGGAGTTTGCAAGTGGAGATTTCAAGCGATTTGATGCCAACCGTAGAAAAGGAAATATCTTCAAATAAAAACTAGACAGAATCATTCTCAGAAACTACTTTGTGATGTGTGCGTGCAACTCACATAGTTTAACCTTTCTTTTCATAGAGCAGTTTGGAAACAGTCTGTGTGTAATGTCTGCAAGTGCATATTTGGACCTCTTTCAGGCCTTCGCTGGAAACGGTATTTCTTCATTTAATGGTAGACAGAAGAATTCTCAGTAACTTATTTGTATTGTGTGTATTCAACTCACAGAGTTGAAACTTGCTTTAGAGAGAGCAGATTTGAAACACACTTGCTGTGGAATTTTCATTTGGAGATTTCAAGTGATTTGAGGACAATTGCAGAAAAGGAAATATCTTCGTATAAAAACCAGACAGAATCATTCTCAGAAAGTGCTTTGTGATGTGTGCGTTCAACTCACAGAGTTTAACCTTTCTTTTCATAGAGGAGTTTGGAAACACACTGTTTGTAAACTCTGCAAGTGGATATATGGACGTGTTTGAGGCCTTCGTTGGAAACGGGATTTCTTCATTGAATGCTAGACGGAAGAATTCTCAGTAAATTCTTTGTGTTGTGTGCATTCAACTCACAGAGTGGAACGTCCCTTTAGACAGAGCAGATTTGAAACACTCTTTTTGCGGAGTTTGCAAGTGGAGATTTCTAGCCATTTGATGCCAACAGTAGAAAGGGAAATATCTTCAAATAAAAACCAGACAGAATCATTCTCAGAAAATTCTTTGTGATGTGTGCGTTCAACTCACATAGTTTAACCTTTCTTTTCATACAGCAGTTTGGAAACACTCTGTTTGTAAAGTCTGCAAGTGGATCTATGGACCGCATTGAGGCCTTCGTTGGAAACGGGATTTCTTCATTTCATGCTAGACAGAAGAATTCTCAGTAACTTCTCTGTGCTGTGTGTATTCAACTCACAGACTGGAACGTCCCTTTGCACAGAGCAGATTTGAAACACTCTTTTTGTGGAATTTGCAAGTGGAGATTTCAAGCGATTTGATGCCAACAGTAGAAAAGGAAATATCTTCAAATAAAAACTAGACAGAGTAATTAACAGAAACCACTTTGTGAGGTATGCATTCAACTCACAGAGTTTAACTTTTCTTAGAGCAGTTTAGAAACACTCTGCTTGTAATGTCTGCAAGTGGATATTTGGACCTCTTTGAGGCCTTCGTTGCAAACGGGATTTCTTCATTTAATGCTAGACAGAAGAGTTCTCAGTAACTTATTTGTGTTGTGTGTATTCAACTCACAGAATTGAACCTTGCTTTAGAGAGAGCAGATTTGAAACACTCTTGCTGTGGAATTTTCAGGTGGAGATTTCAAGCGATTTGAGGACAATTGCAGAAAAGGAAATATCTTCGTATGAAAACCAGACAGAATCATTCTCAGAAAGTGCTTTGTGATGTGTGCGTTGAACTCACAGAGTTTAACCTTTCTTTTCATAGAGGAGTTTGGAAACACACTGTTTGTAAAGTCTGCAATTGGATATATGGACCTGTTTGAGGCCTTCTTTGGAAACGGGATTTTATCATATAATGCTAAACGGAAGAATTCTCAGTTAATTCTTTGTGTTGTGTGCATTCAACTCACAGAGTGGAACGTCCCTTTAGACAGAGCACATTTGAAACACACTTTTTGCGGAATTTGCAAGTGGAGATTTCTAGCCATTTGATGCCAACAGTAGAAAGGGAAATATCTTCAAATAAAAATTAGACAGAATCATTCTCAGAAAATTCTTTGTGATGTGTGCGTTCAACTCACATAGTTTAACCTTTCTTTTCATAGAGCAGTTTGGAAACACTCTGTTTGTAAAGTCTGCAAGTGGATATATGGACCGCATTGAGGCCTTCGTTGGAAACGGGATTGCTACATTTCAGGCTAGACAGAAGAATTCTCAGTAACTTCTTTGTGCTGTGTGTATTCAACTCACAGAGTGGAACGTCCCTTTACACAGAGCAGATTTGAAACACTCTTTTTGTGGAGTTTGCAAGTGGAGATTTCAAGCGATTTGATGCGAACAGTAGAAAAGGAAATATCTTCAAATAAAAACTAGACAGAATCATTCTCAGAAACTACTTTGTGATGTGTGCCTTCAACTCACAGAGTTTAACCTTTCTTTTCTTAGAGCACTTTAGAAACACTCTGCTTGTTATGTCTGCAAGTGGATATTTGGACCTCTTTGAGGCCTTCGTTGCAAACGGCGTTTCTTCCTTTAATGCTAGACTAAGAAGAGTTCTCAGTAACTTTTTTGTGTTGTGTGTATTCAACTCACAGAGTTGAACCTTGCTTTAGAGAGAGCAGATTTGAAACACTCTTGCTGTGGCATTTTCAGGTGGAGATTTCAAGCGATTTGAGGACAATTGCAGAAAAGGAAATATCTTCGTATAACAACCAGACAGAATCATTCTCAGAAAGTGCTTTGTGATGTGTGCGTTCCACTCACAGAGTTTAACCTTTCTTTTCATAGAGGAGTTTGGAAACACACTGTTTGTAAAGTCTGCAATTGGATATATGGACCTGTTTGAGGCCTTCGTTGGAAACGGGATTTCTTCATTGAATGCTAGACGGAAGAATTCTCAGTAAATTCTTTGTGTTGTGTGCATTCAACTCACAGAGTGGAACGTCCCTTTAGACAGAGCAGATTTGAAACACTCTTTTTGCGGAATTTGCAAGTGGAGATTTCTAGCCATTGGATGCCAACAGTAGAAAGGGAAATATCTTCAAATAAAAACTAGACAGATCATTCTCAGAAAATTCTTTGTGATGTGTGCGTTCAACTCACATAGTTTAACCTTTCTTTTCATAGAGCAGTTTGGAAACACTCTGTTTGTAAAGTCTGCAAGTGGATATATGGACCGCATTGAGGCCTTCGTTGGAAACGGGATTTCTTCATTTCATGCTAGACAGAAGAATTCTCAGTAACTTCTTTGTGCTGTGTGTATTCAACTCACAGAGTGGAACGTCCCTTTACACAGAGCAGATTTGAAACACTCTTTTTGTGGAGTTTGCAAGTGGAGATTTCAAGCGATTTGATGCCAACAGTAGAAAAGGAAATATCTTCAAATAAAAACTAGACAGAATCATTCTCAGAAACTACTTTGTGATGTGTGCCTTCAACTCACAGAGTTTAACCTTTCTTTTCTTAGAGCAGTTTAGAAACACTCTGCTTGTTATGTCTGCAAGTGGATATTTGGACCTCTTTGAGGCCTTCATTGCAAACGGGGTTTCTTCCTTTCATGCTAGACTAAGAAGAGTTCTCAGTAACTTTTTTGTGTTGTGTGTATTCAACTCACAGAGTTGAACCTTGCTTTAGAGAGAGCAGATTTGAAACACTCTTGCTGTGGCATTTTCAGGTGGAGATTTCAAGCGATTTGAGGACAATTACAGAAAAGGAAATATCTTCGTATAACAACCAGACAGAATCATTCTCAGAAAGTGCTTTGTGATGTGTGCGTTCAACTCACAGAGTTTAACCTTTCTTTTCATAGAGGAGTTTGGAAACACACTGTTTGTAAAGTCTGCAATTGGATATATGGACCTGTTTGAGGCCTTCGTTGGAAACGGGATTTCTTCATTGCATGCTAGACGGAAGAATTCTCAGTAAATTCTTTGTGTTGTGTGCATTTAACTCACAGAGTGGAACGTCCCTTTAGACAGAGCAGATTTGAAACACTCTTTTTGCGGAATTTGCAACTGGAGATTTCTAGCCATTTGATGCCAACAGTAGAAAGGGAAATATCTTCAAATAAAAACCAGACAGAATCATCCTCAGAAAATTCTTTGTGATGTGTGCGTTCAACTCACATAGTTTAACCTTTCTTTTCATAGACCAGTTTGGAAACACTCTGTTGGTAATGTCTGCAAGTGGATATATGGACCGCTTTGAGGACTTCGTTGGAAACGGGATTTCTTAATTTCATGCTAGACAGAAGAATTCTCAGTAACTTCTTTGTGTTGTGTGTATTCAACTGACAGATTGGAATGTCCCATTACACAGAGCAGTTTTGAAACACTCTTTTTGTGGAATTTAAAAGTGGAGACTTCAAGAGATTTGATACCAACAGTTGAAAAGGATATATCTTCAAATAAAAACTAGACAGAATCATTCTCAGAAACTACTTTGTGATGTGTGCCTTCAACTCACAGAGTTTAACCTTTCTTTTCTTAGCAGCAGTTTAGAAACACTCTGCTTGTTATGTCTGCAAGTGGATATTTGGACCTCTTTGAGGCCTTCGTTGCAAACGGGGTTTCTTCCTTTCATGCTAGACTAAGAAGAGTTCTCAGTAACTTTTTTGTGTTGTGTGTATTCAACTCACAGAGTTGACCCTTGCTTTAGAGAGAGCAGATTTGAAACACTCTTGCTGTGGCATTTTCAGGTGGAGATTTCAAGCGATTTGAGGACAATTGCAGAAAAGGAAATATCTTCGTATAATAACCAGACAGAATCATTCTCAGAAAGTGCTTTGTGATGTGTGCGTTCAACTCACAGAGTTTAACCTTTCTTTCCATAGAGGAGTTTGGAAACACACTGTTTGTAAAGTCTGCAATTGGATATATGGACCTGTTTGAGGCCTTCGTTGGAAACGGGATTTCTTCATTGAATGCTAGACGGAAGAATTCTCAGTAAATTCTTTGTGTTGTGTGCATTCAACTGACAGAGTGGAACGTCCCTTTAGACAGAGCAGATTTGAAACACTCTTTTTGCGGAATTTGCAAGTGGAGATTTCTAGCCATTTGATGCCAACAGTAGAAAGGGAAATATCTTCAAATAAAAACCAGACAGAAAAATTCTCAGAAAATTCTTTGTGATGTGTGCGTTCAACTCGCATAGTTTAACCTTTCCTTTCATAGAGCAGTTTAGAAACACTCTGTTTGTAATGTCTGCAAGTGGATACATGGACCTCTTTGAGGACTTCGTTGGAAACGGGATTTCTTCATTTTATGCTAGACAGAAGAATTCTCAGTAACTTCTTTGTGCTGTGTGTATTCAACTCACAGAGTGGAACGTCCCTTTGCACAGAGCGGATTTGAAACACTCTTTTTGTGGAGTTTGCAAGTGGAGATTTCAAGCGATTTGATGCCAACAGTAGAAAAGGAAATATCTTCAAATAAAAACTAGACAGAATTATTCTCAGAAACTACTTTGTGATGTGTGCCATCAACTCATACAGTTTAACCTTTCTTTTCTTAGAGCAGTTTAGAAACACTCTGCTTGTAATGTCTGCAAGTGGATATTTGGACCTCTTTGAGGCCTTCGTTGCAAACGGGATTTCATCATTTAATGCTAGACTAAGAAGAGTTCTCAGTGACTTTTTTGTGTTGTGTGTATTCAACTCACATTGTTGAAACTTGCTTTAGAGGGAGCAGATTTGAAACACTCTTGCTGTGGAATTTTCAGGTGGAGATTTCAAGCGATTTGAGGACAATTGCAGAAAAGGAAATATCTTCGTATAATAACCAGACAGAATCATTCTCAGAAAGTGCTTTGTGATGTGTGCGTTCAACTCACAGAGTTTAACCTTTCTTTTCATAGAGGAGTTTGGAAACACACTGTTTGTAAAGTCTGCAATTGGATATATGGACCTGTTTGAGGCCTTCTTTGGAAACGGGATTTCTTCATTGAATGCTAGACGGAAGAATTCTCAGTAAATTCTTTGTGTTTTGTGCATTCAACTCACAGAGTGGAACGTCCCTTTAGACAGAGCAGATTTGAAACACTCTTTTTGCGGAATTTGCAAGTGGAGATTTCTAGCCATTTGATGCCAACAGTAGAAAGGGAAATATCTTCAAATAAAAACCAGACAGAATCATTCTCAGAAAATTCTTTGTGATGTGTGCGTTCAACTCACATAGTTTTACCTTTCTTTTCATAGAGCAGTTTGGAAACACTCTGTTTGTAAAGTCTGCAAGTGGATATATGGACCGCATTGAGGCCTTCGTTGGAAACGGGATTTCTTCATTTCATGCTAGACAGAAGAATTCTCAGTAACTTCTTTGTGCTGTGTGTATTCAACTCACAGAGTGGAACGTTCCTTTACACAGAGAAGATTTGAAACACTCTTTTTGTGGAATTTGCAAGTGGAGATTTCAAGCGATTTGATGCCAACAGTAGAAAAGGAAATATCTTCAAATAAAAACTAGACAGAATCATTCTCAGAAACTACTTTGTGATGTGTGCCTTCAACTCACAGAGTTTAACCTTTCTTTTCTTAGAGCAGTTTAGAAACACTCTGCTTGTTATGTCTGCAAGTGGATATTTGGACCTCTTTGAGGCCTTCCTTGCAAACGGGGTTTCTTCCTTTCATGCTAGACTAAGAAGAGTTCTCAGTAACTTTTTTGTGTTGTGTGTATTCAACTCACAGAGTTGAACCTTGCTTTAGAGAGAGCAGATTTGAAACACTCTTGCTGTGGCATTTTCAGGTGGAGATTTCAAGCGTTTTGAGGACAATTGCAGAAAAGGAAATATCTTCGTATAATAACCAGACAGAATCATTCTCAGAAAGTGCTTTGTGATGTGTGCGTTCAACTCACAGAGTTTAACCTTTCTTTTCATAGAGGAGTTTGGAAACACACTGTTTGTAAAGTCTGCAAGTGGATATATGGACCGCTTTGAGGCCTTCGTTGGAAACGGGATTTCTTCATTGAATGCTACACGGAAGAATTCTCAGTAAATTCTTTGTGTTGTGTGCATTCAACTCACAGAGTGGAACGTCCCTTTAGACAGAGCAGATTTGAAACACTCTTTTTGCGGAATTTGCAAGTGGAGATTTCTAGCCATTTGATGCCAACAGTAGAAAGGGAAATATCTTCAAATAAAAACCAGACAGAATCATTCTCAGAAAATTCTTTGTGATGTGTGCGTTCAACTCACATAGTTTAACCTTTCTTTTCATAGAGCAGTTTGGAAACACTCTGTTTGTAAAGTCTGCAAGTGGATATATGGACCGCATTGAGGCCTTCGTTGGAAACGGGATTTCTTCATTTCATGCTAGACCGAAGAATTCTCAGTAACTTCTTTGTGCTGTGTGTATTCAACTCACAGAGTGGAACGTCCCTTTACACAGAGCAGATTTGAAACACTCTTTTTGTGGAGTTTGCAAGTGGAGATTTCAAGCGATTTGATGCCAACAGTAGAAAAGGAAATATCTTCAAATAAAAACTAGACAGAATCATTCTCAGAAACTACTTTGTGATGTGTGCTTCAACTCACAGAGTTTAACCTTTCTTTTCTTAGAGAAGTTTAGAAACACTCTGCTTGTTATGTCTGCAAGTGGATATTTGGACCTCTTTGAGGCCTTCGTGGCAAACGGGATTTCTTCCTTTAATGCTAGACTAAGAAGAGTTCTCAGTAACTTTTTTGTGTTGTGTGTATTCAACTCACAGAGTTGAACCTTGCTTTAGAGAGAGCCGATTTGAAACACTCTTGCTGTGGCATTTTCAGGTGGAGATTTCAAGCGATTTGAGGACAATTGCAGAAAAGGAAATATCTTCGTATAATAACCAGACAGAATCATTCTCAGAAAGTGCTTTGTGATGTGTGCGTTCAACTCACAGAGTTTAACCTTTCTTTTCATAGAGGAGTTTGGAAACACACTGTTTCTAAAGTCTGCAATTGGATATATGGACCTGTTTGAGGCCTTCTTTGGAAACGGGATTTCTTCATTGAATGCTAGACGGAAGAATTCTCAGTAAATTCTTTGTGTTGTGTGCATTCAACTCACAGAGTGGAACGTCCCTTTAGACAGAGCAGACTTGAAACACTCTTTTTGCGGAATTTGCAAGTGGAGATTTCTAGCCATTTGATGCCAACAGTAGAAAGGGAAATATCTTCAAATAAAAACCAGACAGAATCATTCTCAGAAAATTCTTTGTGATGTGTGCGTTCAACTCACATAGTTTAACCTTTCTTTTCATAGAGCAGTTTGGAAACACTCTGTTTGTAAAGTCTGCAAGTGGATATATGGACCGCATTGAGGCCTTCGTTGGAAACGGGATTTCTTCATTTCATGCTAGACAGAAGAATTCTCAGTAACTTCTTTGTGCTGTGTGTATTCAACTCACAGAGTGGAACGTCCCTTTGCACAGAGCAGATTTGAAACACTCGTTTTGTGGAGTTTGCAAGTGGAGATTTCAAGCGATTTGATGCCAACAGTAGAAAAGGAAGTATCTTCAAATAAAAACTAGACAGAATCATTCTCAGGAACTACTTTGTGATGTGTGCCTTCAACTCACAGAGTTTAACCTTTCTTTTCTTAGAGCAGTTTAGAAACACTCTGCTTGTTATGTCTGCAAGTGGATATTTGGACCTCTTTGAGGCCTTCGTTGCAAACGGGGTTTCTTCCTTTAATGCTAGACTAAGAAGAGTTCTCAGTAACTTTTTTGTGTAGTGTGTATTCAACTCACAGAGTTGAACCTTGCTTTAGAGAGAGCAGATTTGAAACACTCTTGCTGTGGAATTTTCAGGTGGAGATTTCAAGCGATTTGAGGACAATTGCAGAAAAGGAAATATCTTCGTATAATAACCAGACAGAATCATTCTCAGAAAGTGCTTTGTGATGTGTGCGTTCAACTCACAGAGTTTAACCTTTCTTTTCATAGAGGAGCTTGGAAACACACTGTTTGTAAAGTCTGCAATTGGATATATGGACCTGTTTGAGGCCTCCGTTGGAAACGGGATTTCTTCATTGAATGCTAGACGGAAGAATTCTCAGTAAATTCTTTGTGTTGTGTGCATTCAACTGACAGAGTGGAACGTCACTTTAGACAGAGCAGATTTAAAACACTCTTTTTGCGGAATTTGCAAGTGGAGATTTCTAGCCATTTGATGCCAACAGTAGAAAGGGAAACATCTTCAAATAAAAACCAGACAGAATCATTCTCAGAAAATTCTTTGTGATGTGTGCGTTCAACTCACATAGTTTAACCTTTCTTTTCATACAGCAGTTTGGAAACACTCTGTTTGTAAAGTCTGCAAGTGGATATATGGACCGCATTGAGGCCTTCGTTGGAAACGGGATTTCTTCATTTCATGCTAGACAGAAGAATTTTCAGTAACTTCTTTGTGCTGTGTGTATTCAACTCACAGAGTGGAACGTCCCTTTGCACAGAGCAGATTTGAAACACTCTTTTTGTGGAGTTTACAAGTGGAGATTACAAGCGATTTGATGCCAACAGTAGGAAAGGAAATATCTTCAAATAAAAACTAGACAGAATCATTCTCAGAAATTACTTTGAGATCTGTGCCTTCAACTCACAGAGTTTAACCTTTCTTTTCTTAGAGCAGTTTAGAAACACTCTGCTTGTTATTTCTGCAAGTGGATATTAGGACGTCTTTGAGGCCTTCATTGCAAATGGGATTTCTTCATTTAATGCTAGACTAAGGAGAGTTCTCAGTAACTTTTTTGTGTTGTGTGTATTCAACTCACAGAGTTGAACCTTGCTTTAGAGAGAGCAGATTTGAAACACTCTTGCTGTGGCATTTTCAGGTGGAGATTTCAAGCGATTTGAGGACAATTGCAGAAAAGGAAATATCTTCGTATAATAACCAGACAGAATCATTCTCAGAAAGTGCTTTGTGATGTGTGCGTTCAACTCACAGAGTTTAACCTTTCTTTTCATAGAGGAGTTTGGAAACACACTGTTTGTAAAGTCTGCAAGTGGATATATGGACCTGTTTGAGGCCTTCGTTGGAAACGGGATTTCTTCATTGAATGCTAGACGGAAGAATTCTCAGTAAATTCTTTGTGTTGTGTGCATTCAACTCACAGAGTGGAACGTCCCTTTAGACAGAGCAGATTTGAAACACTCTTTTTGCGGAATTTGCAAGTGGAGATTTCTAGCCATTTGATGCCAACAGTAGAAAGGGAAATATCTTCAAATAAAAACCAGACAGAATCATTCTCAGAAAATTCTTTGTGATGTGTGCGTTCAACTCACATAGTTTAACCTTTCTTTTCATAGAGCAGTTTGGAAACACTCTGTTTGTAAAGTCTGCAAGTGGATATATGGACCGCATTGAGGCCTTCGTTGGAAACGGGATTTCTTCATTTCATGCTAGACAGAAAAATTCTCAGTAAGTTCTTTGTGTGGTGTGTATTCAACTCACAGAGTGGAACGTCCCTTTAGACAGAGCAGATTTGAAACACTCTTTTTGTGGAATTTGCATGTGGAGATTTCAAGCGATTTGATGCCAGCAGTAGAAAAGGAAACATCTTCAAATAAAAACTAGACAGAATCATTCTCAGAAACTACTTTGTGATGTGTGCCTTCAACTCACAGAGTTTAACCTTTCTTTTCTTAGAGCACTTTAGAAACACTCTGCTTGTTATGTCTGCAAGTGGATATTTGGACCTCTTTGAGGCCTTCGTTGCAAACGGGGTTTCTTCCTTTCATGCTAGACTAAGAAGAGTTCTCAGTAACTTTTTTGTGTTGTGTGTATTCAACTCACAGAGTTGAACCTTGCTTTAGAGAGAGCAGATTTGAAACACTCTTGCTGTGGCATTTTCAGGTGGAGATTTCAAGCGATTTGAGGACAATTGCAGAAAAAGAAATATCTTCGTATAATAACCAGACAGAATCATTCTCAGAAAGTGCTTTGTGATGTGTGCGTTCCACTCACAGAGTTTAACCTTTCTTTTCATAGAGGAGTTTGGAAACACACTGTTTGTAAAGTCTGCAAGTGGATATATGGACCTGTTTGAGGCCTTCGTTGGAAACGGGATTTCTTCATTGAATGCTAGACGGAAGAATTCTCAGTAAATTCTTTGTGTTGTGTGCATTCAACTCACAGAGTGGAACGTCCCTTTAGACAGAGCAGATTTGAAACACTCTTTTTGCGGAATTTGCAAGTGGAGATTTCTAGCCATTTGATGCCAACAGTAGAAAGGGAAATATCTTCAAATAAAAACCAGACAGAATCATTCTCAGAAAATTCTTTGTGATGTGTGCGTTCAACTCACATAGTTTAACCTTTCTTTTCTTAGAGCAGTTTAGAAACACTCTGCTTGTTATGTCTGCATGTGGATATTTGGACCTCTTTGAGGCCTTCGTTGCAAACGGGGTTTCTTCCTTTCATGCTAGACTAAGAAGAGTTCTCAGTAACTTTTTTGTGTTGTGTGTATTCAACTCACAGAGTTGAACCTTGCTTTAGAGAGAGCAGATTTGAAACACTCTTGCTGTGGCATTTTCAGGTGGAGATTTCAAGCGATTTGAGGACAATTGCAGAAAAGGAAATATCTTCGTATAATAACCAGAGAGAATCATTCTCAGAAAGTGCTTTGTGATGTGTGCGTTCCACTCACAGAGTTTAACCTTTCTTTTCATAGAGGAGTTTGGAAACACACTGTTTGTAAAGTCTGCAAGTGGATATATGGACCTGTTTGAGGCCTTCGTTGGAAACGGGATTTCTTCATTGAATGCTAGACGGAAGAATTCTCAGTAAATTCTTTGTGTTGTGTGCATTCAACTCACAGAGTGGAACGTCCCTTTAGACAGAGCAGATTTGAAACACTCTTTTTGCGGAATTTGCAAGTGGAGATTTCTAGCCATTTGATGCCAACAGTAGAAAGGGAAATATCTTCAAATAAAAACCAGACAGAATCATTCTCAGAAAATTCTTTGTGATGTGTGCGTTCAACTCACATAGTTTAACCTTTCTTTTCATAGAGCAGTTTGGAAACACTCTGTTTGTAAAGTCTGCAAGTGGATCTATGGACCGCATTGAGGCCTTCGTTGGAAACGGGATTTCTTCATTTCATGCTAGACAGAAGAATTCTCAGTAACTTCTTTGTGCTGTGTGTATTCAACTCACAGAGTGGAACGTCCCTTTACACAGAGCAGATTTGAAACACTCTTTTTGTGGAGTTTGCAAGTGGAGATTTCAAGCGATTTGATGCCAACAGTAGAAAAGGAAATATCTTCAAATAAAAACTAGACAGAATCATTCTCAGAAACTACTTTGTGATGTGTGCCTTCAACTCACAGAGTTTAACCTTTCTTTTCTTAGAGCAGTTTAGAAACACTCTGCTTGTTATGTCTGCAAGTGGATATTTGGACCTCTTTGAGGCCTTCGTTGCAAACGGGGTTTCTTCCTTTCATGCTAGACTAAGAAGAGTTCTCAGTAACTTTTTTGTGTTGTGTGTATTCAACTCACAGAGTTGAACCTTGCTTTAGAGAGAGCAGATTTGAAACACTCTTGCTGTGGCATTTTCAGGTGGAGATTTCAAGCGATTTGAGGACAATTGCAGAAAAGGAAATATCTTCGTATAATAACCAGACAGAATCATTCTCAGAAAGTGCTTTGTGATGTGTGCGTTCAACTCACAGAGTTTAAACTTTCTTTTCATAGAGGAGTTTGGAAACACACTGTTTGTAAAGTCTGCAAGTGGATATATGGACCGCATTGAGGCCTTCGTTGGAAACGGGATTTCTTCATTGAATGCTAGACGGAAGAATTCTCAGTAAATTCTTTGTGTTGTGTGCATTCAACTCACAGAGTGGAACGTCCCTTTAGACAGAGCAGATTTGAAACACTCTTTTTGTGGAGTTTGCAAGTGGAGATTTCAAGCGATTTGATGCCAACAGTAGAAAAGGAAATATCTTCAAATAAAAACTAGACAGAATCATTCTCAGAAACTACTTTGTGATGTGTGCCTTCAACTCACAGAGTTTAACCTTTCTTTTCTTAGAGCAGTTTAGAAACACTCTGCTTGTTATGTCTGCAAGTGGATATTTGGACCTCTTTGAGGCCTTCGTTGCAAACGGGGTTTCTTCCTTTAATGCTAGACTAAGAAGAGTTCTCAGTAACTTTTTTGTGTTGTGTGTATTCAACTCACAGAGTTGAACCTTGCTTTAGAGAGAGCAGATTTGAAACACTCTTGCTGTGACATTTTCAGGTGGAGATTTCAAGCGATTTGAGGACAATTGCAGAAAAGGAAATATCTTCGTATAATAACCAGAAAGAATCATTCTCAGAAAGTGCTTTGTGATGTGTGCGTTCAACTCACAGAGTTTAACCTTTCTTTTCATAGAGGAGTTTGGAAACACACTGTTTGTAAAGTCTGCAATTGGATATATGGACCTGTTTGAGGCCTTCGTTGGAAACGGGATTTCTTCATTGAATGCTAGACGGAAGAATTCTCAGTAAATTCTTTGTGTTGTGTGCATTCAACTCACAGAGTGGAACGTCCCTTTAGACAGAGCAGATTTGAAACACTCTTTTTGCGGAATTTGCAAGTGGAGATTTCTAGCCATTTGATGCCAACAGTAGAAAGGGAAATATCTTCAAATAAAAACCAGACAGAATCATTCTCAGAAAATTCTTTGTGATGTGTGCGTTCAACTCACATAGTTTAACCTTTCTTTTCATAGAGCAGTTTGGAAACACTCTGTTTGTAAAGTCTGCAAGTGGATATATGGACCGCATTGAGGCCTTCGTTGGAAACGGGATTTCTTCATTTCATGCTAGACAGAAGAATTCTCAGTAACTTCTTTGTGCTGTGTGTATTCAACTCACAGAGTGGAACGTCCCTTTACACAGAGCAGATTTGAAACACTCTTTTTGTGGAGTTTGCAAGTGGAGATTTCAAGCGATTTGATGCCAGCAGTAGAAAAGGAAATATCTTCAAATAAAAACTAGACAGAATCATTCTCAGAAACTACTTTGTGATGTGTGCCTTCAACTCACAGAGTTTAACCTTTCTTTTCTTAGAGCAGTTTAGAAACACTCTGCTTGTTATGTCTGCAAGTGGATATTTGGACCTCTTTGAGGCCTTCGTTGCAAACGGGGTTTCTTCCTTTCATGCTAGACTAAGAAGAGTTCTCAGTAACTTTTTTGTGTTGTGTGTATTCAACTCACAGAGTTGAACCTTGCTTTAGAGAGAGCAGATTTGAAACACTCTTGCTGTGGCATTTTCAGGTGGAGATTTCAAGCGATTTGAGGACAATTGCAGAAAAGGAAATATCTTCGTATAATAACCAGACAGAATCATTCTCAGAAAGTGCTTTGTGATGTGTGCGTTCAACTCACAGAGTTTAACCTTTCTTTCCATAGAGGAGTTTGGAAACACACTGTTTGTAAAGTCTGCAATTGGATATATGGACCTGTTTGAGGCCTTCGTTGGAAACGGGATTTTTCATTGAATGCTAGACGGAAGAATTCTCAGTAAATTCTTTGTGTTGTGTGCATTCAACTGACAGAGTGGAACGTCCCTTTAGACAGAGCAGATTTGAAACACTCTTTTTGCGGAATTTGCAAGTGGAGATTTCTAGCCATTTGATGCCAACAGTAGAAAGGGAAATATCTTCAAATAAAAACCAGACAGAATCATTCTCAGAAAATTCTTTGTGATGTGTGCGTTCAACTCACATAGTTTAACCTTTCTTTTCATAGAGCAGTTTGGAAACACTCTGTTTGTAAAGTCTGCAAGTGGATATATGGACCGCATTGAGGCCTTCGTTGGAAACGGGATTTCTTCATTTCATGCTAGACAGAAGAATTCTCAGTAACTCCTTTGTGTTGTGTGTATTCAACTCACAGTGTGGAACGTCCCTTTAGACAGAGCAGATTTCAAACACTCTTTTTGTGGAATTTGCAAGTGGAGATTTCAAGCGATTTGATGCCAGCAGTAGAAAAGGAAATATCTTCTAATAAAAACTAGACAGAATCATTCTCAGAAACTACTTTGTGATGTGTGCCTTCAACTCACAGAGTTTAACCTTTCTTTTCTTAGAGCAGTTTAGAAACACTCTGCTTGTTATGTCTGCAAGTGGATATTTGGACCTCTTTGAGGCCTTCGTTGCAAACGGGGTTTCTTCCTTTCATGCTAGACTAAGAAGAGTTCTCAGTAACTTTTTTGTGTTGTGTGTATTCAACTCACAGAGTTGAACCTTGCTTTAGAGAGAGCAGATTTGAAACACTCTTGCTGTGGCATTTTCAGGTGGAGATTTCAAGCGATTTGAGGACAATTGCAGAAAAGGAAATATCTTCGTATAATAACCAGACAGAATCATTCTCAGAAAGTGCTTTGTGATGTGTGCGTTCAACTCACAGAGTTTAACCTTTCTTTTCATAGAGGAGTTTGGAAACACACTGTTTGTAAAGTCTGCAATTGGATATATGGACCTGTTTGAGGCCTTCGTTGGAAACGGGATTTCTTCATTGAATGCTAGGCAGAAGAATTCTCAGTAAATTCTTTGTGTTGTGTGCATTCAACTCACAGAGTGGAACGTCCCTTTAGACAGAGCAGATTTGAAACACTCTTTTTGCGGAATTTGCAAGTGGAGATTTCTAGCCATTTGATGCCAACAGTAGAAAGGGAAATATCTTCAAATAAAAACCAGACAGAATCATTCTCAGAAAATTCTTTGTGATGTGTGCGTTCAACTCACATAGTTTAACCTTTCTTTTCATAGAGCAGTTTGGAAACACTCTGTTTGTAAAGTCTGCAAGTGGATATATGGACCGCATTGAGGCCTTCGTTGGAAACGGGATTTCTTCATTTCATGCTAGACAGAAGAATTCTCAGTAACTTCTTTGTGCTGTGTGTATTCAACTCACAGAGTGGAACGTCCCTTTGCACAGAGCAGATTTGAAACACTCTTTTTGTGGAATTTGCAAGTGGAGATTTCAAGCGATTTGATGCCAACAGTAGAAAAGGAAATATCTTCAAATAAAAACTAGACAGAATCATTCTCAGAAACTACTTTGTGATGTGTGCCTTCAACTCACAGAGTTTAACCTTTCTTTTCTTAGAGCAGTTTAGAAACACTCTGCTTGTTATGTCTGCAAGTGGATAGTTGGACCTCTTTGAGGCCTTCGTTGCAAACGGGGTTTCTTCCTTTCATGCTAGACTAAGAAGAGTTCTCAGTAACTTTTTTGTGTTGTGTGTATTCAACTCACAGAGTTGAACCTTGCTTTAGAGAGAGCAGATTTGAAACACTCTTGCTGTGGCATTTTCAGGTGGAGATTTCAAGCGATTTGAGGACAATTGCAGAAAAGGAAATATCTTCGTATAATAACCAGACAGAATCATTCTCAGAAAGTGCTTTGTGATGTGTGCGTTCAACTCACAGAGTTTAACCTTTCTTTTCATAGAGGAGTTTGGAAACACACTGTTTGTAAAGTCTGCAATTGGATATATGGACCTGTTTGAGGCCTTCGTTGGAAACGGGATTTCTTCATTGAATGCTAGACGGAAGAGTTCTCAGTAACTTTTTTGTGTTGTGTGTATTCAACTCACAGAGTTGAACCTTGCTTTAGAGAGAGCAGATTTGAAACACTCTTGCTGTGGCATTTTCATGTGGAGATTTCAAGCGATTTGAGGACAATTGCAGAAAAGGAAATATCTTCGTATAATAACCAGACAGAATCATTCTCAGAAAGTGCTTTGTGATGTGCGTGTTCAACTCACAGAGTTTAACCTTTCTTTTCATAGAGGAGTTTGGAAACACTCTGTTTGTAAAGTCTGCAAGTGGATATATGGACCGCATTGAGGCCTTCGTTGGAAACGGGATTTCTTCATTTCATGCTAGACAGAAGAATTCTCAGTAACTTCTTTGTGCTGTGTGTATTCAACTCACAGAGTGGAACGTCCCTTTGCACAGAGCAGATTTGAAACACTCTTTTTGTGGAATTTGCAAGTGGAGATTTCAAGCGATTTGATGCCAACAGTAGAAAAGGAAATATCTTCAAATAAAAACTAGACAGAATCATTCTCAGAAACTACTTTGTGATGTGTGCCTTCAACTCACAGAGTTTAACCTTTCTTTTCTTAGAGCAGTTTAGAAACACTCTGCTTGTTATGTCTGCAAGTGGATATTTGGACCTCTTTGAGGCCTTCGTTGCAAACGGGGTTTCTTCCTTTCATGCTAGACTAAGAAGAGTTCTCAGTAACTTTTTTGTGTTGTGTGTATTCAACTCACAGAGTTGAACCTTGCTTTAGAGAGAGCAGATTTGAAACACTCTTGCTGTGGCATTTTCAGGTGGAGATTTCAAGCGATTTGAGGATAATTGCAGAAAAGGAAATATCTTCGTATAATAACCAGACAGAATCATTCTCAGAAAGTGCTTTGTGATGTGTGCGTTCAACTCACAGAGTTTAACCTTTCTTTTCATAGAGGAGTTTGGAAACACACTGTTTGTAAAGTCTGCAAGTGGATATATGGACCTGTTTGAGGCCTTCGTTGGAAACGGGATTTCTTCATTGAATGCTAGACGGAAGAATTCTCAGTAAATTCTTTGTGTTGTGTGCATTCAACTCACAGAGTGGAACGTCCCTTTAGACAGAGCAGATTTGAAACACTCTTTTTGCGGAATTTGCAAGTGGAGATTTCTAGCCATTTGATGCCAACAGTAGAAAGGGAAATATCTTCAAATAAAAACCAGACAGAATCATTCTCAGAAAATTCTTTGTGATGTGTGCGTTCAACTCACATAGTTTAACCTTTCTTTTCATAGAGCAGTTTGGAAACATTCTGTTTGTAAAGTCTGCAAGTGGATATATGGACCGCATTGAGGCCTTCGTTGGAAACGGGATTTCTTCATTTCATGCTAGACAGAAGAATTCTCAGTAACTTCTTTGTGCTGTGTGTATTCAACTCACAGAGTGGAACGTCCCTTTACACAGAGCAGATTTGAAACACTCTTTTTGTGGAATTTGCAAGTGGAGATTTCAAGCGATTTGATGCCAACAGTAGAAAAGGAAATATCTGCAAATAAAAACTAGAAAGAATCATTCTCAGAAACTACTTTGTGATGTGTGCCTTCAACTCACAGAGTTTAACCTTTCTTTTCTTAGAGCAGTTTAGAAACACTCTGCTGCTTATGTCTGCAAGTGGATATTTGGACCTCTTTGAGGCCTTCGTTGCAAACGGGATTTCTTCCTTTAATGCTAGACTAAGAAGAGTTCTCAGTAACTTTTTTGTGTTGTGTGTATTCAACTCACAGAGTTGAACCTTGCTTTAGAGAGAGCAGATTTGAAACACTCTTGCTGTGGCATTTTCAGGTGGAGATTTCAAGCGATTTGAGGACAATTGCAGAAAAGGAAATATCTTCGTATAATAACCAGACAGAATCATTCTCAGAAAGTGCTTTGTGATGTGTGCGTTCAACTCACAGAGTTTAACCTTTCTTTTCACAGAGGAGTTTGGAAACACACTGTTTGTAAAGTCTGCAAGTGGATATATGGACCTGTTTGAGGCCTTCGTTGGAAACGGGATTTCTTCATTGAATGCTAGACGGAAGAATTCTCAGTAAATTCTTTGTGTTGTGTGCATTCAACTCACAGAGTGGAACGTCCCTTTAGACAGAGCAGATTTGAAACACTCTTTTTGCGGAATTTGCAATTGGAGATTTCTAGCCATTTGATGCCAACGGTAGAAAGGGAAATATCTTCAAATAAAAACTAGACAGAATCATCCTCAGAAAATTCTTTGTGATGTGTGCGTTCAACTCACATAGTTTAACCTTTCTTTTCATAGACCAGTTTGGAAACACTCTGTTGGTAATGTCTGCAAGTGGATATATGGACCGCTTTGAGGACTTCGTTGGAAACGGAATTTCTTAATTTCATGCTAGACAGAAGAATTCTCAGTAACTTCTTTGTGTTGTGTGTATTCAACTGACAGAATGGAATGTCCCATTACACAGAGCAGTTTTGAAACACTCTTTTTGTGGAATTTAAAAGTGGAGAATTCAAGCGATTTGATGCCAACAGTTGAAAAGGAAATATCTTCAAATAAAAACTAGACAGAATCATTCTCAGAAAATTCTTTGTGATGTGTGCGTTCAGCTCACATAGTTTAACCTTTCTTTTCATAGAGCAGTTTCGAAACACACTGTTTGTAAAATCTGCAAGTGGATATATGTACCGCTTTGAGGCATTCCTTGGAAACGGGATTTCTTCATTGAATGCTAGACAGAAGAATTCTCAGTAAATTCTTTGTGTTGTGTGCATTCAACTCACCGAGTGGAACGTCCCTTTAGACAGAGCAGATTTGAAACAGTCTTTTTACGAAATTTGGAAGTGGAGATTTCAAGCCATTTGATGCCAACAATAGAAAGGGAAATATCTTCAAATAAAAACTAGACAGAGAATCATTCTCAGAAAATTCTTTGTGATGTGTGCGTTCAACTCACATAGTTTAACCTTTCTTTTCATAGAGCAGTTTGGAAACACTCTGTTTGTAAAGTCTGCAAGTGGATATATAGACCGCATTGAGGCCTTCGTTGGAAACGGGATTTCTTCATTTCATGCTAGACAGAAGAATTCTCAGTAACTTCTTTGTGCTGTGTGTATTCAACTCACAGAGTGGAACGTCCCTTTGCACAGAGCAGATTTGAAACACTCTTTTTGTGGAATTTGCAAGTGGAGATTTCAAGCGATTTGATGCCAACAGTAGAAAAGGAAATATCTTCAAATAAAAACTAGACAGAATCATTCTCAGAAACTACTTTGTGATGTGTGCCTTCAACTCACAGAGTTTAACCTTTCTTTTCTTAGAGCAGTTTAGAAACACTCTGCTTGTTATGTCTGCAAGTGGATATTTGGACCTCTTTGAGGCCTTCGTTGCAAACGGGGTTTCTTCCTTTCATGCTAGACTAAGAAGAGTTCTCAGTAACTTTTTTGTGTTGTGTGTATTCAACTCACAGAGTTGAACCTTGCTTTAGAGAGAGCAGATTTGAAACACTCTTGCTGTGGCATTTTCAGGTGGAGATTTCAAGCGATTTGAGGACAATTGCAGAAAAGGAAATATCTTCGTATAATAACCAGACAGAATCATTCTCAGAAAGTGCTTTGTGATGTGTGCGTTCCACTCACAGAGTTTAACCTTTCTTTTCATAGAGGAGTTTGGAAACACACTGTTTGTAAAGTCTGCAAGTGGATATATGGACCTGTTTGAGGCCTTCGTTGGAAACGGGATTTCTTCATTGAATGCTAGACGGAAGAATTCTCAGTAAATTCTTTGTGTTGTGTGCATTCAACTCACAGAGTGGAACGTCCCTTTAGACAGAGCAGATTTGAAACACTCTTTTTGCGGAATTTGCAAGTGGAGATTTCTAGCCATTTGATGCCAACAGTAGAAAGGGAAATATCTTCAAATAAAAACCAGACAGAATCATTCTCAGAAAATTCTTTGTGATGTGTGCGTTCAACTCACATAGTTTAACCTTTCTTTTCATAGAGCGGTTTGGAAACACTCTGTTTGTAAAGTCTGCAAGTGGATATATGGACCGCATTGAGGCCTTCGTTGGAAACGGGATTTCTTCATTTCATGCTAGACAGAAGAATTCTCAGTAACTTCTTTGTGCTGTGTGTATTCAACTCACAGAGTGGAACGTCCCTTTGCACAGAGCAGATTTGAAACACTCTTTTTGTGGAATTTGCAAGTGGAGATTTCAAGCGATTTGATGCCAACAGTAGAAAAGGAAATATCTTCAAATAAAAACTAGACAGAATCATTCTCAGAAACTACTTTGTGATGTGTGCCTTCAACTCACAGAGTTTAACCTTTCTTTTCTTAGAGCAGTTTAGAAACACTCTGCTTGTTATGTCTGCAAGTGGATATTTGGACCTCTTTGAGGCCTTCGTTGCAAACGGGGTTTCTTCCTTTCATGCTAGACTAAGAAGAGTTCTCAGTAACTTTTTTGTGTTGTGTGTATTCAACTCACAGAGTTGAACCTTGCTTTAGAGAGAGCAGATTTGAAACACTCTTGCTGTGGCATTTTCAGGTGGAGATTTCAAGCGATTTGAGGACAATTGCAGAAAAGGAAATATCTTCGTATAATAACCAGACAGAATCATTCTCAGAAAGTGCTTTGTGATGTGTGCGTTCAACTCAGAGAGTTTAACCTTTCTTTTCATAGAGGAGTTTGGAAACACACTGTTTCTAAAGTCTGCAATTGGATATATGGACCTGTTTGAGGCCTTCGTTGGAAACGGGATTTCTTCATTGACTGCTAGACGGAAGAATTCTCAGTAAATTCTTTGTGTTGTGTGCATTCAACTCACAGAGTGGAACGTCCCTTTAGACAGAGCAGATTTGAAACACTCTTTTTGCGGAATTTGCAAGTGGAGATTTCTAGCCATTTGATGCCAACAGTAGAAAGGGAAATATCTTCAAATAAAAACCAGACAGAATCATTCTCAGAAAATTCTTTGTGATGTGTGCGTTCAACTCACATAGTTTAACCTTTCTTTTCATAGAGCAGTTTGGAAACACTCTGTTTGTAAAGTCTGCAAGTGGATATATGGACCGCATTGAGGCCTTCGTTGGAAACGGGATTTCTTCATTTCATGCTAGACAGAAGAATTCTCAGTAACTTCTTTGTGCTGTGTGTATTCAACTCACAGAGTGGAACGTCCCTTTACACAGAGCAGATTTGAAACACTCTTTTTGTGGAGTTTGCAAGTGGAGATTTCAAGCGATTTGATGCCAACAGTAGAAAAGGAAATATCTTCAAATAAAAACTAGACAGAATCATTCTCAGAAACTACTTTGTGATGTGTGCCTTCAACTCACAGAGTTTAACCTTTCTTTTCTTAGAGCAGTTTAGAAACACTCTGCTTGTTATGTCTGCAAGTGGATATTTGGACCTCTTTGAGGCCTTCGTTGCAAACGGGGTTTCTTCCTTTCATGCTAGACTAAGAAGAGTTCTCAGTAACTTTTCTGTGTTGTGTGTATTCAACTCACAGAGTTGAACCTTGCTTTAGAGAGAGCAGATTTGAAACACTCTTGCTGTGGCATTTTCAGGTGGAGATTTCAATCGTTTTGAGGACAATTGCAGAAAAGGAAATATCTTCGTATAATAACCAGACAGAATCATTCTCAGAAAGTGCTTTGTGATGTGTGCGTTCCACTCACAGAGTTTAACCTTTCTTTTCATAGAGGAGTTTGGAAACACACTGTTTGTAAACTCTGCAAGTGGATATATGGACCTGTTTGAGGCCTTCGTTGGAAACGGGATTTCTTCATTGAATGCTAGACGGAAGAATTCTCAGTAAATTCTTTGTGTTGTGTGCATTCAACTCACAGAGTGGAACGTCCCTTTAGACAGAGCAGATTTGAAACACTCTTTTTGCGGAATTTGCAAGTGGAGATTTCTAGCCATTTGATGCCAACAGTAGAAAGGGAAATATCTTCAAATAAAAACCAGACAGAATCATTCTCAGAAAATTCTTTGTGATGTGTGCGTTCAACTCACATAGTTTAACCTTTCTTTTCATAGAGCAGTTTGGAAACACTCTGTTTGTAAAGTCTGCAAGTGGATATATGGACCGCATTGAGGCCTTCGTTGGAAACGGGATTTCTTCATTTCATGCTAGACAGAAGAATTCTCAGTAACTTCTTTGTGCTGTGTGTATTCAACTCACAGAGTGGAACGTCCCTTTACACAGAGAAGATTTGAAACACTCTTTTTGTGGAGTTTGCAAGTGGAGATTTCAAGCGATTTGATGCCAACAGTAGAAAAGGAAATATCTTCAAATAAAAACTAGACAGAATCATTCTCAGAAACTACTTTGTGATGTGTGCCTTCAACTCACAGAGTTTAACCTTTCTTTTCTTAGAGCAGTTTAGAAACACTCTGCTTGTTATGTCTGCAAGTGGATATTTGGACCTCTTTGAGGCCTTCGTTGCAAACGGGGTTTCTTCCTTTCATGCTAGACTAAGAAGAGTTCTCAGTAACTTTTTTGTGTTGTGTGTATTCAACTCACAGAGTTGAACCTTGCTTTAGAGAGAGCAGATTTGAAACACTCTTGCTGTGGCATTTTCAGGTGGAGATTTCAAGCGATTTGAGGACAATTGCAGAAAAGGAAATATCTTCGTATAATAACCAGACAGAATCATTCTCAGAAAGTGCTTTGTGATGTGTGCGTTCCACTCACAGAGTTTAACCTTTCTTTTCATAGAGGAGTTTGGAAACACACTGTTTGTAAAGTCTGCAAGTGGATATATGGACCTGTTTGAGGCCTTCGTTGGAAACGGGATTTCTTCATTGAATGCTAGACGGAAGAATTCTCAGTAAATTCTTTGTGTTGTGTGCATTCAACTCACAGAGTGGAACGTCCCTTTAGACAGAGCAGATTTGAAACACTCTTTTTGCGGAATTTGCAAGTGGAGATTTCTAGCCATTTGATGCCAACAGTAGAAAGGGAAATATCTTCAAATAAAAACCAGACAGAATCATTCTCAGAAAATTCTTTGTGATGTGTGCGTTCAACTCACATAGTTTAACCTTTCTTTTCATAGAGCAGTTTGGAAACACTCTGTTTGTAAAGTCTGCAAGTGGATATATGGACCGCATTGAGGCCTTCGTTGGAAACGGGATTTCTTCCTTTCATGCTAGACAGAAGAATTCTCAGTAACTTCTTTGTGCTGTGTGTATTGAACTCACAGAGTGGAACGTCCCTTTACACAGAGCAGATTTGAAACACTCTTTTTGTGGAGTTTGCAAGTGGAGATTTCAAGCGATTTGATGCCAACAGTAGAAAATGAAATATCTTCAAATAAAAACTAGACAGAATCATTCTCAGAAACTACTTTGTGATGTGTGCCTTCAACTCACAGAGTTTAACCTTTCTTTTCTTAGAGCAGTTTAGAAACACTCTGCTTGTTATGTCTGCAAGTGGATATTTGGACCTCTTTGAGGCCTTCGTTGCAAAAGGGGTTTCTTCCTTTAATGCTAGACTAAGAAGAGTTCTCAGTAACTTTTTTGTGTTGTGTGTATTCAACTCACAGAGTTGAACCTTGCTTTAGAGAGAGCAGATTTGAAACACTCTCGCTGTGGAATTTTCAGGTGGAGATTTCAAGCGATTTGAGGACAATTGCAGAAAAGGAAATATCTTCGTATAATAACCAGACAGAATCATTCTCAGAAAGTGCTTTGTGATGTGTGCGTTCAACTCACAGAGTTTAACCTTTCTTTTCATAGAGGAGTTTGGAAACACACTGTTTGTAAAGTCTGCAATTGGATATATGGACCTGTTTGAGGCCTACGTTGGAAACGGGATTTCTTCATTGAATGCTAGACGGAAGAATTCTCAGTAAATTCTTTGTGTTGTGTGCATTCAACTCACAGAGTGGAACGTCCCTTTAGACAGAGCAGATTTGAAACACTCTTTTTGCGGAATTTGCAAGTGGAGATTTCTAGCCATTTGTTGCCAACAGTAGAAAGGGAAATATCTTCAAATAAAAACCAGACAGAATCATTCTCAGAAAATTCTTTGTGATGTGTGCTTTCAACTCACATAGTTTAACCTTTCTTTTCATAGAGCAGTTTGGAAACACTCTGTTTGTAAAGTCTGCAAGTGGATATATGGACCGCATTGAGGCCTTCGTTGGAAACGGGATTTCTTCATTTCATGCTAGACAGAAAAATTCTCAGTAACTTCTTTGTGTTGTGTGTATTCAACTCACAGAGTGGAACGTCCCTTTAGACAGAGCAGATTTGAAACACTCTTTTTGTGAAATTTGCAAGTGGAGATTTCAAGCGATTTGATGCCAGCAGTAGAAAAGGAAACATCTTCAAATAAAAACTAGACAGAATCATTCTCAGAAACTACTTTGTGATGTGTGCCTTTAACTCACAGAGTTTAACCTTTCTTTTCTTAGAGCAGTTTAGAAACACTCTGCTTGTTATGTCTGCAAGTGGATATTTGGACCTCTTTGAGGCCTTCGTTGCAAACGGGGTTTCTTCCTTTCATGCTAGACTAAGAAGAGTTCTCAGTAACTTTTTTGTGTTGTGTGTATTCAACTCACAGAGTTGAACCTTGCTTTAGAGAGAGCAGATTTGAAACACTCTTGCTGTGGCATTTTCAGGTGGAGATTTCAAGCGTTTTGAGGACAATTGCAGAAAAGGAAATATCTTCGTATAATAACCAGACAGAATCATTCTCAGAAAGTGCTTTGTGATGTGTGCGTTCAACTCACAGAGTTTAACCTTTCTTTTCATAGAGGAGTTTGGAAACACACTGTTTGTAAAGTCTGCAAGTGGATATATGGACCTGTTTGAGGCCTTCGTTGGAAACGGGATTTCTTCATTGAATGCTAGACGGAAGAATTCTCAGTAAATTCTTTGTGTTGTGTGCATTCAACTCACAGAGTGGAACGTCCCTTTAGACAGAGCAGATTTGAAACACTCTTTTTGCGGAATTTGCAAGTGGAGATTTCTAGCCATTTGATGCCAACAGTAGAAAGGGAAATATCTTCAAATAAAAACCAGACAGAATCATTCTCAGAAAATTCTTTGTGATGTGTGCGTTCAACTCACATAGTTTAACCTTTCTTTTCATAGAGCAGTTTGGAAACACTCTGTTTGTAAAGTCTGCAAGTGGATATATGGACCGCATTGAGGCCTTCGTTGGAAACGGGATTTCTTCATTTCATGCTAGACAGAAGAATTCTCAGTAACTCCTTTGTGTTGTGTGTATTCAACTCACAGTGTGGAACGTCCCTTTAGACAGAGCAGATTTGAAACACTCTTTTTGTGGAATTTGCAAGTGGAGATTTCAAGCGATTTGATGCCAGCAGTAGAAAAGGAAATATCTTCTAATAAAAACTAGACAGAATCATTCTCAGAAACTACTTTGTGATGTGTGCCTTCAACTCACAGAGTTTAACCTTTCTTTTCATAGAGCAGTTTAGAAACACTCTGCTTGTTATGTCTGCAAGTGGATATTTGGACCTCTTTGAGGCCTTCGTTGCAAACGGGGTTTCTTCCTTTCATGCTAGACTAAGAGAGAGTTCTCAGTAACTTTTTTGTGTTGTGTGTATTCAACTCACAGAGTTGAACCTTGCTTTAGAGAGAGCAGATTTGAAACACTCTTGCTGTGGCATTTTCAGGTGGAGATTTCAAGCGATTTGAGGACAATTGCAGAAAAGGAAATATCTTCGTATAATAACCAGACAGATCATTCTCAGAAAGTGCTTTGTGATGTGTGCGTTCAACTCACAGAGTTTAACCTTTCTTTTCATAGAGGAGTTTGGAAACACACTGTTTGTAAAGTCTGCAATTGGATATATGGACCTGTTTGAGGCCTTCGTTGGAAACGGGATTTCTTCATTGAATGCTAGACGGAAGAATTCTCAGTAAATTCTTTGTGTTGTGTGCATTCAACTCACAGAGTGGAACGTCCCTTTAGACAGAGCAGATTTGAAACACTCTTTTTGCGGAATTTGCAAGTGGAGATTTCTAGCCATTTGATGCCAACAGTAGAAAGGGAAATATCTTCAAATAAAAACCAGACAGAATCATTCTCAGAAAATTCTTTGTGATGTGTGCGTTCAACTCACATAGTTTAACCTTTCTTTTCATAGAGCAGTTTGGAAACACTCTGTTTGTAAAGTCTGCAAGTGGATATATGGACCGCATTGAGGCCTTCGTTGGAAACGGGATTTCTTCATTTCATGCTAGACAGAAGAATTCTCAGTAACTTCTTTGTGCTGTGTGTATTCAACTCACAGAGGGGAACGTCCCTTTGCACAGAGCAGATTTGAAACACTCTTTTTGTGGAGTTTGCAAGTGGAGATTTCAAGCGATTTGATGCCAACAGTAGAAAAGGAAATATCTTCAAATAAAAACTAGACAGAATCATTCTCAGAAACTACTTTGTGATGTGTGCCTTCAACTCACAGAGTTTAACCTTTCTTTTCTTAGAGCACTTTAGAAACACTCTGCTTGTTATGTCTGCAAGTGGATATTTGGACCTCTTTGAGGCCTTCGTTGCAAACGGGGTTTCTTCCTTTCATGCTAGACTAAGAAGAGTTCTCAGTAACTTTTTTGTGTTGTGTGTATTCAACTCACAGAGTTGAACCTTGCTTTAGAGAGAGCAGATTTGAAACACTCTTGCTGTGGCATTTTCAGGTGGAGATTTCAAGCGATTTGAGGACAATTGCAGAAAAGGAAATATCTTCGTATAACAACCAGACAGAATCATTCTCAGAAAGTGCTTTGTGATGTGTGCGTTCAACTCACAGAGTTTAACCTTTCTTTTCATAGAGGAGTTTGGAAACACACTGTTTGTAAAGTCTGCAAGTGGATATATGGACCTGTTTGAGGCCTTCGTTGGAAACGGGATTTCTTCATTGAATGCTAGACGGAAGAATTCTCAGTAAATTCTTTGTGTTGTGTGCATTCAACTCACAGAGTGGAACGTCCCTTTAGACAGAGCAGATTTGAAACACTCTTTTTGCGGAATTTGCAAGTGGAGATTTCTAGCCATTTGATGCCAACAGTAGAAAGGGAAATATCTTCAAATAAAAACCAGACAGAATCATTCTCAGAAAATTCTTTGTGATGTGTGCGTTCAACTCACATAGTTTAACCTTTCTTTTCATAGAGCAGTTTGGAAACACACTGTTTGTAAAGTCTGCAAGTGGATATATGGACCGCATTGAGGCCTTCGTTGGAAACGGGATTTCTTCATTTCATGCTAGACAGAAGAATTCTCAGTAACTCCTTTGTGCTGTGTGTATTCAACTCACAGAGTGGAACGTCCCTTTGCACAGAGCAGATTTGAAACACTCTTTTTGTGGAATTTGCAAGTGGAGATTTCAAGCGATTTGATGCCAACAGTAGAAAAGGAAATATCTTCAAATAAAAACTAGACAGAATCATTCTCAGAAACTACTTTGTGATGTGTGCCTTCAACTCACAGAGTTTAACCTTTCTTTTCTTAGAGCAGTTTAGAAACACTCTGCTTGTTATGTCTGCAAGTGGATATTTGGACCTCTTTGAGGCCTTCGTTGCAAACGGGGTTTCTTCCTTTCATGCTAGACTAAGAAGAGTTCTCAGTAACTTTTTTGTGTTGTGTGTATTCAACTCACAGAGTTGAACCTTGCTTTAGAGAGAGCAGATTTGAAACACTCCTGCTGTGGCATTTTCAGGTGGAGATTTCAAGCGATTTGAGGACAATTGCAGAAAAGGAAATATCTTCGTATAATAACCAGACAGAATCATTCTCAGAAAGTGCTTTGTGATGTGTGCGTTCAACTCACAGAGTTTAACTTTTCTTTTCATAGACGAGTTTGGAAACACACTGTTTGTAAAGTCTGCAAGTGGATATATGGACCTGTTTGAGCCCTTCGTTGGAAACGGGATTTCTTCATTGAATGCTAGACGGAAGAATTCTCAGTAAATTCTTTGTGTTGTGTGCATTCAACTCACAGAGTGGAACGTCCCTTTAGACAGAGCAGATTTGAAACACTCTTTTTGCGGAATTTGCAAGTGGAGATTTCTAGCCATTTGATGCCAACAGTAGAAAGGGAAATATCTTCAAATAAAAACCAGACAGAATCATTCTCAGAAAATTCTTTGTGATGTGTGCGTTCAACTCACATAGTTTAACCTTTCTTTTCATAGAGCAGTTTGGAAACACTCTGTTTGTAAAGTCTGCAAGTGGATATATGGACCGCATTGAGGCCTTCGTTGGAAACGGGATTTCTTCATTTCATGCTAGACAGAAGAATTCTCAGTAACTTCTTTGTGCTGTGTGTATTCAACTCACAGAGTGGAACGTCCCTTTGCACAGAGCAGATTTGAAACACTCTTTTTGTGGAGTTTGCAAGTGGAGATTTCAAGCGATTTGATGCCAACAGTAGAAAAGGAAATATCTTCAAATAAAAACTAGACAGAATCATTCTCAGAAACTACTTTGTGATGTGTGCCTTCAACTCACAGAGTTCAACCTTTCTTTTCTTAGAGCAGTTTAGAAACACTCTGCTTGTTATGTCTGCAAGTGGATATTTGGACCTCTTTGAGGCCTTCGTTGCAAACGGGGTTTCTTCCTTTCATGCTAGACTAAGAAGAGTTCTCAGTAACTTTTTTGTGTTGTGTGTATTCAACTCACAGAGTTGAACCTTGCTTTAGAGAGAGCAGATTTGAAACACTCTTGCTGTGGAATTTTCAGGTGGAGATTTCAAGCGATTTGAGGACAATTGCAGAAAAGGAAATATCTTCGTATAATAACCAGACAGAATCATTCTCAGAAAGTGCTTTGTGATGTGTGCGTTCAACTCACAGAGTTTAACCTTTCTTTTCATAGAGGAGCTTGGAAACACACTGTTTGTAAAGTCTGCAAGTGGATATATGGACCTGTTTGAGGCTTCCGTTGGAAACGGGATTTCTTCATTGAATGCTAGACGGAAGAATTCTCAGTAAATTCTTTGTGTGGTGTGCATTCAACTCACAGAGTGGAACGTCCCTTTAGACAGAGCAGATTTGAAACACTCTTTTTGCGGAATTTGCAAGTGGAGATTTCTAGCCATTTGATGCCAACAGTAGAAAGGGAAATATCTTCAAATAAAAACCAGACAGAATCATTCTCAGAAAATTCTTTGTGATGTGTGCGTTCAACTCACATAGTTTAACCTTTCTTTTCATAGAGCAGTTTGGAAACACTCTGTTTGTAAAGTCTGCAAGTGGATATATGGACCGCATTGAGGCCTTCGTTGGAAACGGGATTTCTTCATTTCATGCTAGACAGAAGAATTCTCAGTAACTTCTTTGTGCTGTGTGTATTCAACTCACAGAGTGGAACGTCCCTTTGCACAGAGCAGATTTGAAACACTCTTTTTGTGGAGTTTGCAAGTGGAGATTTCAAGCGATTTGATGCCAACAGTAGAAAAGGAAATATCTTCAAATAAAAACTAGACAGAATCATTCTCAGAAACTACTTTGTGATGTGTGCCTTCAACTCACCGAGTTTAACCTTTCTTTTCTGAGAGCAGCTTAGAAACACTCTGCTTGTTATGTCTGCAAGTTGATATTTGGACCTCTTTGAGGCCTTCGTTGCAAACGGGGTTTCTTCCTTTAATGCTAGACTAAGAAGAGTTCTCAGTAACTTTTTTGTGTTGTGTGTATTCAACTCACAGAGTTGAACCTTGCTTTAGAGAGAGCAGATTTGAAACACTCTTGCTGTGGCATTTTCAGGTGGAGATTTCAAGCGATTTGAGGACAATTGCAGAAAAGGAAATATCTTCGTATAATAACCAGACAGAATCATTCTCAGAAAGTGCTTTGTGATGTGTGCGTTCAACTCACAGAGTTTAACCTTTCTTTTCATAGAGGAGTTTGGAAACACACTGTTTGTAATGTCTGCAATTGGATATATGGACCTGTTTGAGGCCTTCGTTGGAAACGGGATTTCTTCATTGAATGCTAGACGGAAGAATTCTCAGTAAATTCTTTGTGTTGTGTGCATTCAACTCACAGAGTGGAACGTCCCTTTAGACAGAGCAGATTTGAAACACTTTTTGGCGGAATTTGCAAGTGGAGATTTCTAGCCATTTGATGCCAACAGTAGAAAGGGAAATATCTTCAAATAAAAACCAGACAGAATCATTCTCAGAAAATTCTTTGTGATGTGTGCGTTCAACTCACATAGTTTAACCTTTCTTTTCATAGAGCAGTTTGGAAACACTCTGTTTGTAAAGTCTGCAAGTGGATATATGGACCGCATTGAGGCCTTCGTTGGAAACGGGATTTCTTCATTTCATGCTAGACAGAAGAATTCTCAGTAACTTCTTTGTGCTGTGTGTATTCAACTCACAGAGTGGAACGTCCCTTTACACAGAGCAGATTTGAAACACTCTTTTTGTGGAGTTTGCAAGTGGAGATTTCAAGCGATTTGATGCCAACAGTAGAAAAGGAAATATCTTCAAATAAAAACTAGACAGAATCATTCTCAGAAACTACTTTGTGATGTGTGCCTTCAACTCACAGAGTTTAACCTTTCTTTTCTTAGAGCAGTTTAGAAACACTCTGCTTGTTATGTCTGCAAGTGGATATTTGGACCTCTTTGAGGCCTTCGTTGCAAACGGGGTTTCTTCCTTTCATGCTAGACTAAGAAGAGTTCTCAGTAACTTTTTTGTGTTGTGTGTATTCAACTCACAGAGTTGAACCTTGCTTTAGAGAGAGCAGATTTGAAACACTCTTGCTGTGGCATTTTCAGGTGGAGATTTCAAGCGATTTGAGGACAATTGCAGAAAAGGAAATATCTTCGTATAACAACCAGACAGAATCATTCTCAGGAAGTGCTTTGTGATGTGTGCGTTCAACTCACAGAGTTTAACCTTTCTTTTCATAGAGGAGTTTGGAAACACACTGTTTGTAAAGTCTGCAATTGGATATATGGACCTGTTTGAGGCCTTCGTTGGAAACGGGATTTCTTCATTGACTGCTAGACGGAAGAATTCTCAGTAAATTCTTTGTGTTGTGTTCATTCAACTCACAGAGTGGAACGTCCCTTTAGACAGAGCAGATTTGAAACACTCTTTTTGCGGAATTTGCAAGTGGAGATTTCTAGCCATTTGATGCCAACAGTAGAAAGGGAAATATCTTCAAATAAAAACCAGACAGAATCATTCTCAGAAAATTCTTTGTGATGTGTGCGTTCAACTCACATAGTTTAACCTTTCTTTTCATAGAGCAGTTTGGAAACACTCTGTTTGTAAAGTCTGCAAGTGGATATATGGACCGCATTGAGGCCTTCGTTGGAAACGGGATTTCTTCATTTCATGCTAGACAGAAGAATTCTCAGTAACTTCTTTGTGCTGTGTGTATTCAACTCACAGAGTGGAACGTCCCTTTGCACAGAGCAGATTTGAAACACTCTTTTTGTGGAATTTGCAAGTGGAGATTTCAAGCGATTTGATGCCAACAGTAGAAAAGGAAATATCTTCAAATAAAAACTAGACAGAATCATTCTCAGAAACTACTTTGTGATGTGTACCTTCAACTCACAGAGTTTAACCTTTCTTTTCTTAGAGCAGTTTAGAAACACTCTGCTTGTTATGTCTGCAAGTGGATATTTGGACCTCTTTGAGGCCTTCGTTGCAAACGGGGTTTCTTCCTTTAATGCTAGACTAAGAAGAGTTCTCAGTAACTTTTTTGTGTTGTGTGTATTCAACTCACAGAGTTGAACCTTGCTTTAGAGAGAGCAGATTTGAAACACTCTTGCTGTGGCATTTTCAGGTGGAGATTTCAAGCGATTTGAGGACAATTGCAGAAAAGGAAATATCTTCGTATAATAACCAGACAGAATCATTCTCAGAAAGCGCTTTGTGATGTGTGCGTTCCACTCACAGAGTTTAACCTTTCTTTTCATAGAGGAGTTTGGAAACACACTGTTTGTAAAGTCTGCAAGTGGATATATGGACCTGTTTGAGGCCTTCGTTGGAAACGGGATTTCTTCATTGAATGCTAGACGGAAGAATTCTCAGTAAATTCTTTGTGTTGTGTGCATTCAACTCACAGAGTGGAACGTCCCTTTAGACAGAGCAGATTTGAAACACTCTTTTTGCGGAATTTGCAAGTGGAGATTTCTAGCCATTTGATGCCAACAGTAGAAAGGGAAATATCTTCAAATAAAAACCAGACAGAATCATTCTCAGAAAATTCTTTGTGATGTGTGCGTTCAACTCACATAGTTTAACCTTTCTTTTCATAGAGCGGTTTGGAAACACTCTGTTTGTAAAGTCTGCAAGTGGATATATGGACCGCATTGAGGCCTTCGTTGGAAACGGGATTTCTTCATTTCATGCTAGACAGAAGAATTCTCAGTAACTTCTTTGTGCTGTGTGTATTCAACTCACAGAGTGGAACGTCCCTTTACACAGAGCAGATTTGAAACACTCTTTTTGTGGAGTTTGCAAGTGGAGATTTCAAGCGATTTGATGCCAACAGTAGAAAAGGAAATATCTTCAAATAAAAACTAGACAGAATCATTCTCAGAAACTACTTTGTGATGTGTGCCTTCAACTCACAGAGTTTAACCTTTCTTTTCTTAGAGCAGTTTAGAAACACTCTGCTTGTTATGTCTGCAAGTGGATATTTGGACCTCTTTGAGGCCTTCGTTGCAAACGGGGTTTCTTCCTTTCATGCTAGACTAAGAAGAGTTCTCAGTAACTTTTTTGTGTTGTGTGTATTCAACTCACAGAGCTGAACCTTGCTTTAGAGAGAGCAGATTTGAAACACTCTTGCTGTGGCATTTTCAGGTGGAGATTTCAAGCGATTTGAGGACAATTGCAGAAAAGGAAATATCTTCGTATAACAACCAGACAGAATCATTCTCAGAAAGTGCTTTGTGATGTGTGCGTTCAACTCACAGAGTTTAACCTTTCTTTTCATAGAGGAGTTTGGAAACACACTGCTTGTAAAGTCTGCAAGTGGATATATGGACCTGTTTGAGGCCTTCGTTGGAAACGGGATTTCTTCATTGAATGCTAGACGGAAGAATTCTCAGTAAATTCTTGGTGTTGTGTGCATTCAACTCACAGAGTGGAACGTCCCTTTAGACAGAGCAGATTTGAAACACTCTTTTTGCGGAATTTGCAAGTGGAGATTTCAAGCCATTTGATGCCAACATTAGAAAGGGAAATATCTTCAAATAAAAACCAGACAGAATCATTCTCAGAAAATTCTTTGTGATGTGTGCGTTCAACTCACATAGTTTAACCTTTCTTTTCATAGAGCAGTTTGGAAACACTCTGTTTGTAAAGTCTGCAAGTGGATATATGGACCGCATTGAGGCCTTCGTTGGAAACGGGATTTCTTCATTTCATGCTAGACAGAAGAATTCTCAGTAACTTCTTTGTGCTGTGTGTATTCAACTCACAGAGTGGAACGTCCCTTTGCACAGAGCAGATTTGAAACACTCTTTTTGTGGAATTTGCAAGTGGAGATTTCAAGCGATTTGATGCCAACAGTAGAAAAGGAAATATCTTCAAATAAAAACTAGACAGAATCATTCTCAGAAACTACTTTGTGATGTGTGCCTTCAACTCACAGAGTTTAACCTTTCTTTTCTTAGAGCAGTTTAGAAACACTCTGCTTGTTATGTCTGCAAGTGGATATTTGGACCTCTTTGAGGCCTTCGTTGCAAACGGGGTTTCTTCCTTTCATGCTAGACTAAGAAGAGTTCTCAGTAACTTTTTTGTGTTGTGTGTATTCAACTCACAGAGTTGAACCTTGCTTTAGAGAGAGCAGATTTGAAACACTCTTGCTGTGGCATTTTCAGGTGGAGATTTCAAGCGATTTGAGGACAATTGCAGAAAAGGAAATATCTTCGTATAACAACCAGACAGAATCATTCTCAGAAAGTGCTTTGTGATGTGTGCGTTCCACTCACAGAGTTTAACCTTTCTTTTCATAGAGGAGTTTGGAAACACACTGTTTGTAAAGTCTGCAAGTGGATATATGGACCTGTTTGAGGCCTTCGTTGGAAACGGGATTTCTTCATTGAATGCTAGACGGAAGAATTCTCAGTAAATTCTTTGTGTTGTGTGCATTCAACTGACAGAGTGGAACGTCCCTTTAGACAGAGCAGATTTGAAACACTCTTTTTGCGGAATTTGCAAGTGGAGATTTCTAGCCATTTGATGCCAACAGTAGAAAGGGAAATATCTTCAAATAAAAACCAGACAGAATCATTCTCAGAAAATTCTTTGTGATGTGTGCGTTCAACTCACATAGTTTAACCTTTCTTTTCATAGAGCAGTTTGGAAACACTCTGTTTGTAAAGTCTGCAAGTGGATATATGGACCGCATTGAGGCCTTCCTTGGAAACGGGATTTCTTCATTTCATGCTAGACAGAAGAATTCTCAGTAACTTCTTTGTGCTGTGTGTATTCAACTCACAGAGTGGAACGTCCCTTTACACAGAGCAGATTTGAAACACTCTTTTTGTGGAGTTTGCAAGTGGAGATTTCAAGCGATTTGATGCCAACAGTAGAAAAGGAAATATCTTCAAATAAAAACTAGACAGAATCATTCTCAGAAACTACTTTGTGATGTGTGCCTTCAACTCACAGAGTTTAACCTTTCTTTTCTTAGAGCAGTTTAGAAACACTCTGCTTGTTATGTCTGCAAGTGGATATTTGGACCTCTTTGAGGCCTTCGTTGCAAACGGGGTTTCTTCCTTTCATGCTAGACTAAGAGAGAGTTCTCAGTAACTTTTTTGTGTTGTGTGTATTCAACTCACAGAGTTGAACCTTGCTTTAGAGAGAGCAGATTTGAAACACTCTTGCTGTGGCATTTTCAGGTGGAGATTTCAAGCGATTTGAGGACAATTGCAGAAAAGGAAATATCTTCGTATAATAACCAGACAGATCATTCTCAGAAAGTGCTTTGTGATATGTGCTGTTCAACTCACAGAGTTTAACCTTTCTTTTCATAGAGGAGTTTGGAAACACACTGTTTGTAAAGTCTGCAATTGGATATATGGACCTGTTTGAGGCCTCCGTTGGAAACGGGATTTCTTCATTGAATGCTAGACGGAAGAATTCTCAGTAAATTCTTTGTGTTGTGTGCATTCAACTCACAGAGTGGAACGTCCCTTTAGACAGAGCAGATTTGAAACACTCTTTTTGCGGAATTTGCAAGTGGAGATTTCTAGCCATTTGATGCCAACAGTAGAAAGGGAAATATCTTCAAATAAAAACCAGACAGAATCATTCTCAGAAAATTCTTTGTGATGTGTGCGTTCAACTCACATAGTTTAACCTTTCTTTTCATAGAGCAGTTTGGAAACACTCTGTTTGTAAAGTCTGCAAGTGGATATATGGACCGCATTGAGGCCTTCGTTGGAAGCGGGATTTCTTCATTTCATGCTAGACAGAAGAATTCTCAGTCACTTCTTTGTGCTGTGTGTATTCAACTCACAGAGTGGAACGACCCTTTACACAGAGCAGATTTGAAACACTCTTTTTGTGGAGTTTGCAAGTGGAGATTTCAAGCGATTTGATGCCAACAGTAGAAAAGGAAATATCTTCAAATAAAAACTAGACAGAATCATTCTCAGAAACTACTTTGTGATGTGTGCCTTCAACTCACAGAGTTTAACCTTTCTTTTCTTAGAGCAGTTTAGAAACACTCTGCTTGTTATGTCTGCAAGTGGATATTTGGACCTCTTTGAGGCCTTCGTTGCAAACGGGGTTTCTTCCTTTCATGCTAGACTAAGAAGAGTTCTCAGCAACTTTTTTGTGTTGTGTGTATTCAACTCACAGAGTTGAACCTTGCTTTAGAGAGAGCAGATTTGAAACACTCTTGCTGTGGCATTTTCAGGTGGAGATTTCAAGCGATTTGAGGACAATTGCAGAAAAGGAAATATCTTCGTATAATAACCAGACAGAATCATTCTCAGAAAGTGCTTTGTGATGTGTGCGTTCAACTCACAGAGTTTAACCTTTCTTTTCATAGAGGAGTTTGGAAACACACTGTTTGTAAAGTCTGCAATTGGATATATGGACCTGTTTGAGGCCTTCGTTGGAAACCTGATTTCTTCATTGAATGCTAGACGGAAGAATTCTCAGTAAATTCTTTGTGTTGTGTGCATTCAACTCACAGAGTGGAACGTCCCTTTAGACAGAGCAGATTTGAAACACTCTTTTTGCGGAATTTGCAAGTGGAGATTTCTAGCCATTTGATGCCAACAGTAGAAAGGGAAATATCTTCAAATAAAAACCAGACAGAATCATTCTCAGAAAATTCTTTGTGATGTGTGCGTTCAACTCACATAGTATAACCTTTCTTTTCATAGAGCAGTTTGGAAACACTCTGTTTGTAAAGTCTGCAAGTGGATATATGGACCGCATTGAGGCCTTCGTTGGAAACGGGATTTCTTCATTTCATGCTAGACAGAAGAATTCTCAGTAACTTCTTTGTGCTGTGTGTATTCAACTCACAGAGTGGAACGTCCCTTTACACAGAGCAGATTTGAAACACTCTTTTTGTGGAGTTTGCAAGTGGAGATTTCAAGCGATTTGATGCCAACAGTAGAAAAGGAAATATCTTCAAATAAAAACTAGACAGAATCATTCTCAGAAACTACTTTGTGATGTGTGCCTTCAACTCACAGAGTTTAACCTTTCTTTTCTTAGAGCAGTTTAGAAACACTCTGCTTGTTATGTCTGCAAGTGGATATTTGGACCTCTTTGAGGCCTTCGTTGCAAACGGGGTTTCTTCCTTTCATGCTAGACTAAGAAGAGTTCTCAGTAACTTTTTTGTGTTGTGTGTATTCAACTCACAGAGTTGAACCTTGCTTTAGAGAGAGCAGATTTGAAACACTCTTGCTGTGGCATTTTCAGGTGGAGATTTCAAGCGTTTTGAGGACAATTGCAGAAAAGGAAATATCTTCGTATAATAACCAGACAGAATCATTCTCAGAAAGTGCTTTGTGATGTGTGCGTTCCACTCACAGAGTTTAACCTTTCTTTTCATAGAGGAGTTTGGAAACACACTGTTTGTAAACTCTGCAAGTGGATATATGGACCTGTTTGAGGCCTTCGTTGGAAACGGGATTTCTTCATTGAATGCTAGACGGAAGAATTCTCAGTAAATTCTTTGTGTTGTGTGCATTCAACTCACAGAGTGGAACGTCCCTTTAGACAGAGCAGATTTGAAACACTCTTTTTGCGGAATTTGCAAGTGGAGATTTCTAGCCATTTGATGCCAACAGTAGAAAGGGAAATATCTTCAAATAAAAACCAGACAGAATCATTCTCAGAAAATTCTTTGTGATGTGTGCGTTCAACTCACATAGTTTAACCTTTCTTTTCATAGAGCAGTTTGGAAACACTCTGTTTGTAAAGTCTGCAAGTGGATATATGGACCGCATTTGAGGCCTTCGTTGGAAACGGGATTTCTTCATTTCATGCTAGACAGAAGAATTCTCAGTAACTTCTTTGTGCTGTGTGTATTCAACTCACAGAGTGGAACGTCCCTTTGCACAGAGCAGATTTGAAACACTCTTTTTGTGGAGTTTGCAAGTGGAGATTTCAAGCGATTTGATGCCAACAGTAGAAAAGGAAATATCTTCAAATAAAAACTAGACAGAATCATTCTCAGAAACTACTTTGTGATGTGTGCCTTCAACTCACAGAGTTTAACCTTTCTTTTCTTAGAGCAGTTTAGAAACACTCGGCTTGTTATGTCTGCAAGTGGATATTTGGACCTCTTTGAGGCCTTCGTTGCAAACGGGGTTTCTTCCTTTCATGCTAGACTAAGAAGAGTTCTCAGTAACTTTTTTGTGTTGTGTGTATTCAACTCACAGAGCTGAACCTTGCTTTAGAGAGAGCAGATTTGAAACACTCTTGCTGTGGCATTTTCAGGTGGAGATTTCAAGCGATTTGAGGACAATTGCAGAAAAGGAAATATCTTCGTATAACAACCAGACAGAATCATTCTCAGAAAGTGCTTTGTGATGTGTGCGTTCAACTCACAGAGTTTAACCTTTCTTTTCATAGAGGAGTTTGGAAACACACTGTTTGTAAAGTCTGCAATTGGATATATGGACCTGTTTGAGGCCTTCGTTGGAAACGGGATTTCTTCATTGAATGCTAGACGGAAGAATTCTCAGTAAATTCTTTGTGTTGTGTGCATTCAACTGACAGAGTGGAACGTCCCTTTAGACAGAGCAGATTTGAAACACTCTTTTTGCGGAATTTGCAAGTGGAGATTTCTAGCCATTTGATGCCAACAGTAGAAAGGGAAATATCTTCAAATAAAAACCAGACAGAATCATTCTCAGAAAATTCTTTGTGATGTGTGCGTTCAACTCACATAGTTTAACCTTTCTTTTCATAGAGCAGTTTGGAAACACTCTGTTTGTAAAGTCTGCAAGTGGATATATGGACCGCATTGAGGCCTTCGTTGGAAACGGGATTTCTTCATTTCATACTAGACAGAAGAATTCTCAGTATCTTCTTTGTGCTGGGTGTATTCAACTCACAGAGTGGAACGTCCCTTTGCACAGAGCAGATTTGAAACACTCTTTTTGTGGAGTTTGCAAGTGGAGATTTCAAGCGATTTGATGCCAACAGTAGAAAAGGAAATATCTTCAAATAAAAACTAGACAGAATCATTCTCAGAAACTACTTTGTGATGTGTGCCTTCAACTCACAGAGTTTAACCTTTCTTTTTTTAGAGCAGTTTAGAAACACTCTGCTTGTTATGTCTGCGAGTGGATATTTGGACCTCTTTGAGGCCTTCGTTGCAAACGGGGTTTCTTCCTTTCATGCTAGACTAAGAAGAGTTCTCAGTAACTTTTTTGTGTTGTGTGTATTCAACTCACAGAGTTGAACCTTGCTTTAGAGAGAGCAGATTTGAAACACTCTTGCTGTGGCATTTTCAGGTGGAGATTTCAAGCGATTTGAGGACAATTGCAGAAAAGGAAATATCTTCGTATAATAACCAGACAGAATCATTCTCAGAAAGTGCTTTGTGATGTGTGCGTTCCACTCACAGAGTTTAACCTTTCTTTTCATAGAGGAGTTTGGAAACACACTGTTTGTAAAGTCTGCAATTGGATATATGGACCTGTTTGAGGCCTTCGTTGGAAACGGGATTTCTTCATTGAATGCTAGACGGAAGAATTCTCAGTAAATTCTTTGTGTTGTGTGCATTCAACTCACAGAGTGGAACGTCCCTTTAGACAGAGCAGATTTGAAACACTCTTTTTGCGGAATTTGCAAGTGGAGATTTCTAGCCATTTGATGCCAACAGTAGAAAGGGAAATATCTTCAAATAAAAACCAGACAGAATCATTCTCAGAAAATTCTTTGTGATGTGTGCGTTCAACTCACATAGTTTAACCTTTCTTTTCATAGAGCAGTTTGGAAACACTCTGTTTGTGAAGTCTGCAAGTGGATATATAGACCGCATTGAGGCCTTCGTTGGAAACGGGATTTCTTCATTTCATGCTAGACAGAAGAATTCTCAGTAACTTCTTTGTGCTGTGTGTATTCAACTCACAGAGTGGAACGTCCCTTTGCACAGAGCAGATTTGAAACACTCTTTTTGTGGAGTTTGCAAGTGGAGATTTCAAGCGATTTGATGCCAACAGTAGAAAAGGAAATATCTTCAAATAAAAACTAGACAGAATCATTCTCAGAAACTACCTTGTGATGTGTGCCTTCAACTCACAGAGTTTAACCTTTCTTTTCTTAGAGCAGTTTAGAAACACTCTGCTTGTTATGTCTGCAAGTGGATATTTGGACCTCTTTGAGGCCTTCGTTGCAAACGGGGTTTCTTCCTTTCATGCTAGACTAAGAAGAGTTCTCAGTAACTTTTTTGTGTTGTGTGTATTCAACTCACAGAGTTGAACCTTGCTTTAGAGAGAGCAGATTTGAAACACTCTTGCTGTGGCATTTTCAGGTGGAGATTTCAAGCGATTTGAGGACAATTGCAGAAAAGGAAATATCTTCGTATAATAACCAGACAGAATCATTCTCAGAAAGTGCTTTGTGATGTGTGCGTTCAACTCACAGAGTTTAACCTTTCTTTTCATAGAGGAGTTTGGAAACACACTGTTTGTAATGTCTGCAATTGGATATATGGACCTGTTTGAGGCCTTCGTTGGAAACGGAATTTCTTCATTGAATGCTAGACGGAAGAATTCTCAGTAAATTCTTTGTGTTGTGTGCATTCAACTCACAGAGTGGAACGTCCCTTTAGACAGAGCAGATTTGAAACACTTTTTGGCGGAATTTGCAAGTGGAGATTTCTAGCCATTTGATGCCAACAGTAGAAAGGGAAATATCTTCAAATAAAAACCAGACAGAATCATTCTCAGAAAATTCTTTGTGATGTGTGTGTTCAACTCACATAGTTTAACCTTTCTTTTCATAGAGCAGTTTGGAAACACTCTGTTTGTAAAGTCTGCAAGTGGATATATGGACCGCATTGAGGCCTTCGTTGGAAACGGGATTTCTTCATTTCATGCTAGACAGAAGAATTCTCAGTAACTTCTTTGTGCTGTGTGTATTCAACTCACAGAGTGGAACGTCCCTTTGCACAGAGCAGATTTGAAACACTCTTTTTGTGGAGTTTGCAAGTGGATATTTCAAGCGATTTGATGCCAACAGTAGAAAAGGAAATATCTTCAAATAAAAACTAGACAGAATCATTCTCAGAAACTACTTTGTGATGTGTGCCTTCAACTCACAGAGTTTAACCTTTCTTTTCTTAGAGCAGTTTAGAAACACTCTGCTTGTTATGTCTGCAAGTGGATATTTGGACCTCTTTGAGGCCTTCGTTGCAAACGGGGTTTCTTCCTTTCATGCTAGACTAAGAAGAGTTCTCAGTAACTTTTTTGTGTTGTGTGTATTCAAATCACAGAGTTGAACCTTGCTTTAGAGAGAGCAGATTTGAAACACTCTTGCTGTGGCATTTTCAGGTGGAGATTTCAAGCGATTTGAGGACAATTGCAGAAAAGGAAATATCTTCGTATAATAACCAGACAGAATCATTCTCAGAAAGTGCTTTGTGATGTGTGCGTTCAACTCACAGAGTTTAACCTTTCTTTTCATAGAGGAGTTTGGAAACACACTGTTTGTAAAGTCTGCAATTGGATATATGGACCTGTTTGAGGCCTTCGTTGGAAACGGGATTTCTTCATTGCATGCTAGACGGAAGAATTCTCAGTAAATTCTTTGTGTTGTGTGCATTCAACTCACAGAGTGGAACGTCCCTTTAGACAGAGCAGATTTGAAACACTCTTTTTGTGGAGTTTGCAAGTGGAGATTTCAAGCGATTTGATGCCAACAGTAGAAAAGGAAATATCTTCAAATAAAAACTAGACAGAATCATTCTCAGAAACTACTTTGTGATGTGTGCCTTCAACTCACAGAGTTTAACCTTTCTTTTCTTAGAGCAGTTTAGAAACACTCTGCTTGTTATGTCTGCAAGTGGATATTTGGACCTCTTTGAGGCCTTCGTTGCAAACTGGGTTTCTTCCTTTCATGCTAGACTAAGAAGAGTTCTCAGTAACTTTTTTGTGTTGTGTGTATTCAACTCACAGAGTTGAACCTTGCTTTAGAGAGAGCAGATTTGAAACACTCTTGCTGTGGCATTTTCAGGTGGAGATTTCAAGCGATTTGAGGACAATTGCAGAAAAGGAAATATCTTCGTATAATAACCAGACAGAATCATTCTCAGAAAGTGCTTTGTGATGTGTGCGTTCCACTCACAGAGTTTAACCTTTCTTTTCATAGAGGAGTTTGGAAACACACTGTTTGTAAAGTCTGCAAGTGGATATATGGACCTGTTTGAGGCCTTCGTTGGAAACGGGATTTCTTCATTGAATGCTAGACGGAAGAATTCTCAGTAAATTCTTTGTGTTGTGTGCATTCAACTCACAGAGTGGAACGTCCCTTTAGACAGAGCAGATTTGAAACACTCTTTTTGCGGAATTTGCAAGTGGAGATTTCTAGCCATTTGATGCCAACAGTAGAAAGGGAAATATCTTCAAATAAAAACCAGACAGAATCATTCTCAGAAAATTCTTTGTGATGTGTGCGTTCAACTCACATAGTTTAACCTTTCTTTTCATAGAGCAGTTTGGAAACACTCTGTTTGTAAAGTCTGCAAGTGGATATATGGACCGCATTGAGGCCTTCGTTGGAAACGGGATTTCTTCATTTCATGCTAGACAGAAGAATTCTCAGTAACTTCTTTGTGCTGTGTGTATTCAACTCACAGAGTGGAACGTCCCTTTACACAGAGCAGATTTGAAACACTCTTTTTGTGGAGTTTGCAAGTGGAGATTTCAAGCGATTTGATGCCAACAGTAGAAAAGGAAATATCTTCAAATAAAAACTAGACAGAATCATTCTCAGAAACTACTTTGTGATGTGTGCCTTCAACTCACAGAGTTTAACCTTTCTTTTCTTAGAGCAGTTTAGAAACACTCTGCTTGTTATGTCTGCAAGTGGATATTTGGACCTCTTTGAGGCCTTCGTTGCAAACGGGGTTTCTTCCTTTCATGCTAGACTAAGAAGAGTTCTCAGTAACTTTTTTGTGTTGTGTGTATTCAACTCACAGTGTTGAACCTTGCTTTAGAGAGAGCAGATTTGAAACACTCTTGCTGTGGCATTTTCAGGTGGAGATTTCAAGCGATTTGAGGACAATTGCAGAAAAGGAAATATCTTCGTATAACAACCAGACAGAATCATTCTCAGAAAGTGCTTTGTGATGTGTGCGTTCAACTCACAGAGTTTAACCTTTCTTTTCATAGAGGAGTTTGGAAACACACTGTTTGTAAAGTCTGCAATTGGATATATGGACCTGTTTGAGGCCTTCGTTGGAAACGGGATTTCTTCATTGAATGCTAGACGGAAGAATTCTCAGTAAATTCTTTGTGTTGTGTGCATTCAACTCACAGAGTGGAACGTCCCTTTAGACAGAGCAGATTTGAAACACTCTTTTTGCGGAATTTGCAAGTGGAGATTTCTAGCCATTTGATGCCAACAGTAGAAAGGGAAATATCTTCAAATAAAAACCAGACAGAATCATTCTCAGAAAATTCTTTGTGATGTGTGCGTTCAACTCACATAGTTTAACCTTTCTTTTCATAGAGCAGTTTGGAAACACTCTGTTTGTAAAGTCTGCAAGTGGATATATGGACCGCATTGAGGCCTTCGTTGGAAACGGGATTTCTTCATTTCATGCTAGACAGAAGAATTCTCAGTAACTTCTTTGTGCTGTGTGTATTCAACTCACAGAGTGGAACGTCCCTTTGCACAGAGCAGATTTGAAACACTCTTTTTGTGGAGTTTGCAAGTGGAGATTTCAAGCGATTTGATGCCAACAGTAGAAAAGGAAATATCTTCAAATAAAAACTAGACAGAATCATTCTCAGAAACTACTTTGTGATGTGTGCCTTCAACTCACAGAGTTTAACCTTTCTTTTCTTAGAGCAGTTTAGAAACACTCTGCTTGTTATGTCTGCAAGTGGATATTTGGACCTCTTTGAGGCCTTCGTTGCAAACGGGGTTTCTTCCTTTCATGCTAGACTAAGAAGAGTTCTCAGTAACTTTTTTGTGTTGTGTGTATTCAACTCACAGAGTTGAACCTTGCTTTAGAGAGAGCAGATTTGAAACACTCTTGCTGTGGCATTTTCAGGTGGAGATTTCAAGCGATTTGAGGACAATTGCAGAAAAGGAAATATCTTCGTATAATAACCAGACAGAATCATTCTCAGAAAGTGCTTTGTGATGTGTGCGTTCAACTCACAGAGTTTAACCTTTCTTTTCATAGAGGAGTTTGGAAACACACTGTTTGTAAAGTCTGCAATTGGATATATGGACCTGTTTGAGGCCTTCGTTGGAAACGGGATTTCTTCATTGAATGCTAGACGGAAGAATTCTCAGTAAATTCTTTGTGTTGTGTGCATTCAACTCACAGAGTGGAACGTCCCTTTAGACAGAGCAGATTTGAAACACTCTTTTTGCGGAATTTGCAAGTGGAGATTTCTAGCCATTTGATGCCAACAGTAGAAAGGGAAATATCTTCAAATAAAAACCAGACAGAATCATTCTCAGAAAATTCTTTGTGATGTGTGCGTTCAACTCACATAGTTTAACCTTTCTTTTCATAGAGCAGTTTGGAAACACTCTGTTTGTAAAGTCTGCAAGTGGATATATGGACCGCATTGAGGCCTTCGTTGGAAACGGGATTTCTTCATTTCATGCTAGACAGAAGAATTCTCAGTAACTTCTTTGTGCTGTGTGTATTCAACTCACAGAGTGGAACGTCCCTTTGCACAGAGCAGATTTGAAACACTCTTTTTGTGGAGTTTGCAAGTGGAGATTTCAAGCGATTTGATGCCAACAGTAGAAAAGGAAATATCTTCAAATAAAAACTAGACAGAATCATTCTCAGAAACTACTTTGTGATGTGTGCCTTCAACTCACAGAGTTTAACCTTTCTTTTCTTAGAGCAGTTTAGAAACACTCTGCTTGTTATGTCTGCAAGTGGATATTTGGACCTCTTTGAGGCCTTCGTTGCAAACGGGGTTTCTTCCTTTCATGCTAGACTAAGAAGAGTTCTCAGTAACTTTTTTGTGTTGTGTGTATTCAACTCACAGAGTTGAACCTTGCTTTAGAGAGAGCAGATTTGAAACACTCTTGCTGTGGCATTTTCAGGTGGAGATTTCAAGCGTTTTGAGGACAATTGCAGAAAAGGAAATATCTTCGTATAATAACCAGACAGAATCATTCTCAGAAAGTGCTTTGTGATGTGTGCGTTCAACTCACAGAGTTTAACTTTTCTTTCCATAGAGGAGTTTGGAAACACACTGTTTGTAAAGTCTGCAAGTGGATATATGGACCTGTTTGAGGCCTTCGTTGGAAACGGGATTTCTTCATTGAATGCTAGACGGAAGAATTCTCAGTAAATTCTTTGTGTTGTGTGCATTCAACTCACAGAGTGGAACGTCCCTTTAGACAGAGCAGATTTGAAACACTCTTTTTGCGGAATTTGCAAGTGGAGATTTCTAGCCATTTGATGCCAACAGTAGAAAGGGAAATATCTTCAAATAAAAACCAGACAGAATCATTCTCAGAAAATTCTTTGTGATGTGTGCGTTCAACTCACATAGTTTAACCTTTCTTTTCATAGAGCAGTTTGGAAACACTCTGTTTGTAAAGTCTGCAAGTGGATATATGGACCGCATTGAGGCCTTCGTTGGAAACGGGATTTCTTCATTTCATGCTAGACAGAAGAATTCTCAGTAACTTCTTTGTGCTGTGTGTATTCAACTCACAGAGTGGAACGTTCCTTTACACAGAACAGATTTGAAACACTCTTTTTGTGGAATTTGCAAGTGGAGATTTCAAGCGATTTGATGCCAACAGTAGAAAAGGAAATATCTTCAAATAAAAACTAGACAGAATCATTCTCAGAAACTACTTTGTGATGTGTGCCTTCAACTCACAGAGTTTAACCTTTCTTTTCTTAGAGCAGTTTAGAAACACTCTGCTTGTTATGTCTGCAAGTGGATATTTGGACCTCTTTGAGGCCTTCGTTGCAAACGGGGTTTCTTCCTTTCATGCTAGACTAAGAAGAGTTCTCAGTAACTTTTTTGTGTTGTGTGTATTCAACTCACAGAGTTGAACCTTGCTTTAGAGAGAGCAGATTTGAAACACTCTTGCTGTGGCATTTTCAGGTGGAGATTTCAAGCGATTTGAGGACAATTGCAGAAAAGGAAATATCTTCGTATAATAACCAGACAGAATCATTCTCAGAAAGTGCTTTGTGATGTGTGCGTTCAACTCACAGAGTTTAACCTTTCTTTTCATAGAGGAGTTTGGAAACACACTGTTTGTAAAGTCTGCAAGTGGATATATGGACCTGTTTGAGGCCTTCGTTGGAAACGGGATTTCTTCATTGAATGCTAGACGGAAGAATTCTCAGTAAATTCTTTGTGTTGTGTGCATTCAACTCACAGAGTGGAACGTCCCTTTAGACAGAGCAGATTTGAAACACTCTTTTTGCGGAATTTGCAAGTGGAGATTTCTAGCCATTTGATGCCAACAGTAGAAAGGGAAATATCTTCAAATAAAAACCAGACAGAATCATTCTCAGAAAATTCTTTGTGATGTGTGCGTTCAACTCACATAGTTTAACCTTTCTTTTCATAGAGCAGTTTGGAAACACTCTGTTTGTAAAGTCTGCAAGTGGATATATGGACCGCATTGAGGCCTTCGTTGGAAACGGGATTTCTTCATTTCATGCTAGACAGAAGAATTCTCAGTAACTTCTTTGTGCTGTGTGTATTCAACTCACAGAGTGGAACGTCCCTTTGCACAGAGCAGATTTGAAACACTCTTTTTGTGGAGTTTGCAAGTGGAGATTTCAAGCGATTTGATGCCAACAGTAGAAAAGGAAATATCTTCAAATAAAAACTAGACAGAATCATTCTCAGAAACTACTTTGTGATGTGTGCCTTCAACTCACAGAGTTTAACCTTTCTTTTCTTAGAGCACTTTAGAAACACTCTGCTTGTTATGTCTGCAAGTGGATATTTGGACCTCTTTGAGGCCTTCGTTGCAAACGGTGTTTCTTCCTTTCATGCTAGACTAAGAAGAGTTCTCAGTAACTTTTTTGTGTTGTGTGTATTCAACTCACAGAGTTGAACCTTGCTTTAGAGAGAGCAGATTTGAAACACTCTTGCGGTGGCATTTTCAGGTGGAGATTTCAAGCGATTTGAGGACAATTGCAGAAAAGGAAATATCTTCGTATAACAACCAGACAGAATCATTCTCAGAAAGTGCTTTGTGATGTGTGCGTTCAACTCACAGAGTTTAACCTTTCTTTTCATAGAGGAGTTTGGAAACACACTGTTTGTAAAGTCTGCAATTGGATATATGGACCTGTTTGAGGCCTTCGTTGGAAACGGGATTTCTTCATTGAATGCTAGACGGAAGAATTCTCAGTAAATTCTTTGTGTTGTGTGCATTCAACTCACAGAGTGGAACGTCCCTTTAGACAGAGCAGATTTGAAACACTCTTTTTGCGGAATTTGCAAGTGGAGATTTCTAGCCATTTGATGCCAACAGTAGAAAGGGAAATATCTTCAAATAAAAACCAGACAGAATCATTCTCAGAAAATTCTTTGTGATGTGTGCGTTCAACTCACATAGTTTAACCTTTCTTTTCATAGAGCAGTTTGGAAACACTCTGTTTGTAAAGTCTGCAAGTGGATATATGGACCGCATTGAGGCCTTCGTTGGAAACGGGATTTCTTCCTTTCATGCTAGACAGAAGAATTCTCAGTAACTTCTTTGTGCTGTGTGTATTCAACTCACAGAGTGGAACGTCCCTTTACACAGAGCAGATTTGAAACACTCTTTTTGTGGAGTTTGCAAGTGGAGATTTCAAGCGATTTGATGCCAACAGTAGAAAAAGGAAATATCTTCAAATAAAAACTAGACAGAATCATTCTCAGAAACTACTTTGTGATGTGTGCCTTCAACTCACAGAGTTTAACCTTTCTTTTCTTAGAGCAGTTTAGAAACACTCTGCTTGTTATGTCTGCAAGTGGATATTTGGACCTCTTTGAGGCCTTCGTTGCAAACGGGGTTTCTTCCTTTCATGCTAGACTAAGAAGAGTTCTCAGTAACTTTTTTGTGTTGTGTGTATTCAACTCACAGAGTTGAACCTTGCTTTAGAGAGAGCAGATTTGAAACACTCTTGCTGTGGCATTTTCAGGTGGAGATTTCAAGCGATTTGAGGACAATTGCAGAAAAGGAAATATCTTCGTATAATAACCAGACAGAATCATTCTCAGAAAGTGCTTTGTGATGTGTGCGTTCAACTCACAGAGTTTAACCTTTCTTTTCATAGAGGAGTTTGGAAACACACTGTTTGTAAAGACTGCAAGTGGATACATGGACCTGTTTGAGGCCTTCGTTGGAAACGGGATTTCTTCATTGAATGCTAGACGGAAGAATTCTCAGTAAATTCTTTGTGTTGTGTGCATTCAACTCACAGAGTGGAACGTCCCTTTAGACAGAGAAGATTTGAAACACTCTTTTTCTGGAATTTGCAAATGGAGATTTCAAGCAATTTGATGCCAACAGTAGAAAAGGAAATATCTTCAAAAAAAAACTAGACAGAATCATTATCAGAAAATTCTTTGTGATGTGTGCGTTCAGCTGACATAGTTAAACCTTTCTTTTCGTAGAGCAGCTTGGAAAAGCACTGTAAAATCTGCAAGTGGATATATGGACAGTTTTGAGGCATTAGATGGAAACGGGATTTCTTCATTTAATGCTAGACAGAAGAATTCTCAGTAATTTCTTTTTGTTGTGTGTATTCAAGTCACAGAGTGGAACGTCCCTTTACACAGAGCAGATTTGAAACACTCTTTTTGTGGAATTTGCCAGTGGAGATTTCAAGCTATTTGATGCCAACAGTAGAAAAGGAAATAACTTCAAATAAAAACTAGACAGAATCATTCTCAGAAACTACTTTGTGATGTGTGCCTTCAACTCACAGAGTTTAACCTTTCTTTTCTTAGAGCAGGTTAGAAACACTCTGCTTGTTATGTCTGCAAGTGGATATTTGGACCTCTTTGAGGCCTTCGTTGCAAACGGGGTTTCTTCCTTTCATGCTAGACTAAGAGAGTTCTCAGTAACTTTTTTGTGTTGTGTGTATTAAACTCACAGAGTTGAACCTTGCTTTAGAGAGAGCAGATTTGAAACACTCTTGCTGTGGAATTTTCAGGTGGAGATTTCAAGCGATTTGAGGACAATTGCAGAAAAGGAAATATCTTCGTATAATAACCAGACAGAATCATTCTCAGAAAGTGCTTTGTGATGTGTGCGTTCAACTCACAGAGTTTAACCTTTCTTTTCACAGAGGAGTTTGGAAACACACTGTTTGTAAAGTCTGCAAGTGGATATATGGACCTGTTTGAGGCCTTCGTTGGAAACGGGATTTCTTCATTGAATGCTAGACGGAAGAATTCTCAGTAAATTCTTTGTGTTGTGTGCATTCAACTCACAGAGTGGAACGTCCCTTTAGACAGAGCAGATTTGAAACACTCTTTTTGCGGAATTTGCAAGTGGAGATTTCTAGCCATTTGATGCCAACAGTAGAAAGGGAAATATCTTCAAATAAAAACCAGACAGAATCATTCTCAGAAAATTCTTTGTGATGTGTGCGTTCAACTCACATAGTTTAACCTTTCTTTTCATAGAGCAGTTTGGAAACACTCTGTTTGTAAAGTCTGCAAGTGGATATATGGACCGCATTGAGGCCTTCGTTGGAAACGGGATTTCTTCATTTCATGCTAGACAGAAGAATTCTCAGTAACTTCTTTGTGCTGTGTGTATTCAACTCACAGAGTGGAACGTCCCTTTACACAGAGCAGATTTGAAACACTCTTTTTGTGGAGTTTGCAAGTGGAGATTTCAAGCGATTTGATGCCAACAGTAGAAAAGGAAATATCTTCAAATAAAAACTAGACAGAATCATTCTAAGAAACTACTTTGTGATGTGTGCCTTCAACTCACAGAGTTTAACCTTTCTTTTCTTAGAGCAGTTTAGAAACACTCTGCTTGTTATGTCTGCAAGTGGAAATTTGGACCTCTTTGAGGCCTTCGTTGCAAACGGGGTTTCTTCCTTTCATGCTAGACTAAGAAGAGTTCTCAGTAACTTTTTTGTGTTGTGTGTATTCAACTCACAGAGTTGAACCTTGCTTTAGAGAGAGCAGATTTGAAACACTCTTGCTGTGGCATTTTCAGGTGGAGATTTCAAGCGATTTGAGGACAATTGCAGAAAAGGAAATATCTTCGTATAATAACCAGACAGAATCATTCTCAGAAAGTGCTTTGTGATGTTTGCGTTCCACTCACAGAGTTTAACCTTTCTTTTCATAGAGGAGTTTGGAAAAACACTGTTTGTAAAGTCTGCAAGTGGATATATGGACCTGTTTGAGGCCTTCGTTGGAAACGGGATTTCTTCATTGAATGCTAGACGGAAGAATTCTCAGTAAATTCTTTGTGTTGTGTGCATTCAACTCACAGAGTGGAACGTCCCTTTAGACAGAGCAGATTTGAAACACTCTTTTTGCGGAATTTGCAAGTGGAGATTTCTAGCCATTTGATGCCAACAGTAGAAAGGGAAATATCTTCAAATAAAAACCAGACAGAATCATTCTCAGAAAATTCTTTGTGATGTGTGCGTTCAACTCACATAGTTTAACCTTTCTTTTCATAGAGCAGTTTGGAAACACTCTGTTTGTAAAGTCTGCAAGTGGATATATGGACCGCATTGAGGCCTTCGTTGGAAACGGGATTTCTTCATTTCATACTAGACAGAAGAATTCTCAGTAACTTCTTTGTGCTGTGTGTATTCAACTCACAGAGTGGAACGTCCCTTTGCACAGAGCAGATTTGAAACACTCTTTTTGTGGAGTTTGCAAGTGGAGATTTCAAGCGATTTGATGCCAACAGTAGAAAAGGAAATATCTTCAAATAAAAACTAGACAGAATCATTCTCAGAAACTACTTTGTGATGTGTGCCTTCAACTCACAGAGTTTAACCTTTCTTTTCTTAGAGCAGTTTAGAAACACTCTGCTTGTTATGTCTGCAAGTGGATATTTGGACCTCTTTGAGGCCTTCGTTGCAAACGGGGTTTCTTCCTTTCATGCTAGACTAAGAAGAGTTCTCAGTAACTTTTTTGTGTTGTGTGTATTCAACTCACAGAGTTGAACCTTGCTTTAGAGAGAGCAGATTTGAAACACTCTTGCTGTGGCATTTTCAGGTGGAGATTTCAAGCGATTTGAGGACAATTGCAGAAAAGGAAATATCTTCGTATAATAACCAGACAGAATCATTCTCAGAAAGTGCTTTGTGATGTGTGCGTTCAACTCACAGAGTTTAACCTTTCTTTTCATAGAGGAGTTTGGAAACACACTGTTTGTAAAGTCTGCAATTGGATATATGGACCTGTTTGAGGCCTCCGTTGGAAACGGGATTTCTTCGTTGAATGCTAGACGGAAGAATTCTCAGTAAATTCTTTGTGTTGTGTGCATTCAACTCACAGAGTGGAACGTCCCTTTAGACAGAGCAGATTTGAAACACTCTTTTTGCGGAATTTGCAAGTGGAGATTTCTAGCCATTTGATGCCAACAGTAGAAAGGGAAATATCTTCAAATAAAAACCAGACAGAATCATTCTCAGAAAATTCTTTGTGATGTGTGCGTTCAACTCACATAGTTTAACCTTTCTTTTCATAGAGCAGTTTGGAAACACTCTGTTTGTAAAGTCTGCAAGTGGATATATGGACCGCATTGAGGCCTTCGTTGGAAACGGGATTTCTTCATTTCATGCTAGACAGAGAATTCTCAGTAACTTCATTGTGCTGTGTGTATTCAACTCACAGAGTGGAACGTCCCTTTGCACAGAGCAGATTTGAAACACTCTTTTTGTGGAATTTGCAAGTGGAGATTTCAAGCGATTTGATGCCAACAGTAGAAAAGGAAATATCTTCAAATAAAAACTAGACAGAATCATTCTCAGAAACTACTTTGTGATGTGTGCCTTCAACTCACAGAGTTCAACCTTTCTTTTCTTAGAGCAGTTTAGAAACACTCTGCTTGTTATGTCTGCAAGTGGATATTTGGACCTCTTTGAGGCCTTCGTTGCAAACGGGGTTTCTTCCTTTCATGCTAGACTAAGAAGAGTTCTCAGTAACTTTTTTGTGTTGTGTGTATTCAACTCACAGAGTTGAACCTTGCTTTAGAGAGAGCAGATTTGAAACACTCTTGCTGTGGCATTTTCAGGTGGAGATTTCAAGCGATTTGAGGACAATTGCAGAAAAGGAAATATCTTCGTATAATAACCAGACAGAATCATTCTCAGAAAGTGCTTTGTGATGTGTGCGTTCAACTCACAGAGTTTAACCTTTCTTTTCATAGAGGAGTTTGGAAACACACTGTTTGTAAAGTCTGCAAGTGGATATATGGACCTGTTTGAGGCCTTCGTTGGAAACGGGATTTCTTCATTGAATGCTAGACGGAAGAATTCTCAGTAAATTCTTTGTGTTGTGTGCATTCAACTCACAGAGTGGAACGTCCCTTCAGACAGAGCAGATTTGAAACACTCTTTTTGCGGAATTTGCAAGTGGAGATTTCTAGCCATTTGATGCCAACAGTAGAAAGGGAAATATCTTCAAATAAAAACCAGACAGAATCATTCTCAGAAAATTCTTTGTGATGTGTGCGTTCAACTCACATAGTTTAACCTTTCTTTTCATAGAGCAGTTTGGAAACACTCTGTTTGTAAAGTCTGCAAGTGGATATATGGACCGCATTGAGGCCTTCGTTGGAAACGGGATTTCTTCATTTCATGCTAGACAGAAGAATTCTCAGTAACTTCTTTGTGCTGTGTGTATTCAACTCACAGAGTGGAACGTCCCTTTGCACAGAGCAGATTTGAAACACTCTTTTTGTGGAATTTGCAAGTGGAGATTTCAAGCGATTTGATGCCAACAGTAGAAAAGGAAATATCTTCAAATAAAAACTAGACAGAATCATTCTCAGAAACTACTTTGTGATGTGTGCCTTCAACTCACAGAGTTTAACCTTTCTTTTCTTAGAGCAGTTTAGAAACACTCTGCTTGTTATGTCTGCAAGTGGATATTTGGACCTCTTTGAGGCCTTCGTTGCAAACGGGGTTTCTTCCTTTCATGCTAGACTAAGAAGAGTTCTCAGTAACTTTTTTGTGTTGTGTGTATTCAACTCACAGAGTTGAACCTTGCTTTAGAGAGAGCAGATTTGAAACACTCTTGCTGTGGCATTTTCAGGTGGAGATTTCAAGCGATTTGAGGACAATTGCAGAAAAGGAAATATCTTCGTATAACAACCAGACAGAATCATTCTCAGAAAGTGCTTTGTGATGTGTGCGTTCAACTCACAGAGTTTAACCTTTCTTTTCATAGAGGAGTTTGGAAACACACTGTTTGTACAGTCTGCAATTGGATATATGGACCTGTTTGAGGCCTTCGTTGGAAACGGGATTTCTTCATTGACTGCTAGACGGAAGAATTCTCAGTAAATTCTTTGTGTTGTGTGCATTCAACTGACAGAGTGGAACGTCCCTTTAGACAGAGCAGATTTGAAACACTCTTTTTGCGGAATTTGCAAGTGGAGATTTCTAGCCATTTGATGCCAACAGTAGAAAGGGAAATATCTTCAAATAAAAACCAGACAGAATCATTCTCAGAAAATTCTTTGTGATGTGTGCGTTCAACTCACATAGTTTAACCTTTCTTTTCATAGAGCAGTTTGGAAACACTCTGTTTGTAAAGTCTGCAAGTGGATATATGGACCGCATTGAGGCCTTCGTTGGAAACGGGATTTCTTCATTTCATGCTAGACAGAAGAATTCTCAGTAACTTCTTTGTGCTGTGTGTATTCAACTCACAGAGTGGAACGTCCCTTTGCACAGAGCAGATTTGAAACACTCTTTTTGTGGAATTTGCAAGTGGAGATTTCAAGCGATTTGATGCCAACAGTAGAAAAGGAAATATCTTCAAATAAAAACTAGACAGAATCATTCTCAGAAACTACTTTGTGATGTGTGCCTTCAACTCACAGAGTTTAACCTTTCTTTTCTTAGAGCAGTTTAGAAACACTCTGCTTGTTATGTCTGCAAGTGGATATTTGGACCTCTTTGAGGCCTTCGTTGCAAACGGGGTTTCTTCCTTTTATGCTAGACTAAGAAGAGTTCTCAGTAACTTTTTTGTGTTGTGTGTATTCAACTCACAGAGTTGAACCTTGCTTTAGAGAGAGCAGATTTGAAACACTCTTGCTGTGGCATTTTCAGGTGGAGATTTCAAGCGATTTGAGGACAATTGCAGAAAAGGAAATATCTTCGTATAATAACCAGACAGAATCATTCTCAGAAAGTGCTTTGTGATGTGTGCGTTCAACTCACAGAGTTTAACCTTTCTTTTCATAGAGGAGTTTGGAAACACACTGTTTGTAAAGTCTGCAATTGGATATATGGACCTGTTTGAGGCCTCCGTTGGAAACGGGATTTCTTCATTGAATGCTAGACGGAAGAATTCTCAGTAAATTCTTTGTGTTGTGTGCATTCAACTCACAGAGTGGAACGTCCCTTTAGACAGAGCAGATTTGAAACACTCTTTTTGCGGAATTTGCAAGTGGAGATTTCTAGCCATTTGATGCCAACAGTAGAAAGGGAAATATCTTCAAATAAAAACCAGACAGAATCATTCTCAGAAAATTCTTTGTGATGTGTGCGTTCAACTCACATAGTTTAACCTTTCTTTTCATAGAGCAGTTTGGAAACACTCTGTTTGTAAAGTCTGCAAGTGGATATATGGACCGCATTGAGGCCTTCGTTGGAAACGGGATTTCTTCATTTCATGCTAGACAGAAGAATTCTCAGTAACTTCTTTGTGCTGTGTGTATTCAACTCACAGAGTGGAACGTCCCTTTACACAGAGCAGATTTGAAACACTCTTTTTGTGGAGTTTGCAAGGGGAGATTTCAAGCGATTTGATGCCAACAGTAGAAAAGGAAATATCTTCAAATAAAAACTAGACAGAATCATTCTCAGAAACTACTTTGTGATGTGTGCCTTCAACTCACAGAGTTTAACCTTTCTTTTCTTAGAGCAGTTTAGAAACACTCTGCTTGTTATGTCTGCAAGTGGATATTTGGACCTCTTTGAGGCCTTCGTTGCAAACGGGGTTTCTTCCTTTCATGCTAGACTAAGAAGAGTTCTCAGTAACTTTTTTGTGTTGTGTGTATTCAACTCACAGAGCTGAACCTTGCTTTAGAGAGAGCAGATTTGAAACACTCTTGCTGTGGCATTTTCAGGTGGAGATTTCAAGCGATTTGAGGACAATTTCAGAAAAGGAAATATCTTCGTATAACAACCAGACAGAATCATTCTCAGAAAGTGCTTTGTGATGTGTGCGTTCAACTCACAGAGTTTAACCTTTCTTTTCATAGAGGAGTTTGGAAACACACTGTTTGTAAAGTCTGCAATTGGATATATGGACCTGTTTGAGGCCTTCGTTGGAAACGGGATTTCTTCATTGCATGCTAGACGGAAGAATTCTCAGTAAATACTTTGTGTTGTGTGCATTCAACTGACAGAGTGGAACGTCCCTTTAGACAGAGCAGATTTGAAACACTCTTTTTGCGGAATTTGCAAGTGGAGATTTCTAGCCATTTGATGCCAACAGTAGAAAGGGAAATATCTTCAAATAAAAACCAGACAGAATCATTCTCAGAAATTTCTTTGTGATGTGTGCGTTCAACTCACATAGTTTAACCTTTCTTTTCATAGAGCAGTTTGGAAACACTCTGTTTGTAAAGTCTGCAAGTGGATATATGGACCGCATTGAGGCCTTCGTTGGAAACGGGATTTCTTCATTTCATGCTAGACAGAAGAATTCTCAGTAACTTCTTTGTGCTGTGTGTATTCAACTCACAGAGTGGAACGTCCCTTTACACAGAGCAGATTTGAAACACTCTTTTTGTGGAGTTTGCAAGTGGAGATTTCAAGCGATTTGATGCCAACAGTAGAAAAGGAAATATCTTCAAATAAAAACTAGACAGAATCATTCTCAGAAACTACTTTGTGATGTGTGCCTTCAACTCACAGAGTTTAACCTTTCTTTTCTTAGAGCAGTTTAGAAACACTCTGCTTGTTATGTCTGCAAGTGGATATTTGGACCTCTTTGAGGCCTTCGTTGCAAACGGGGTTTCTTCCTTTCATGCTAGACTAAGAAGAGTTCTCAGTAACTTTTTTGTGTTGTGTGTATTCAACTCACAGAGTTGAACCTTGCTTTAGAGAGAGCAGATTTGAAACACTCTTGCTGTGGCATTTTCAGGTGGAGATTTCAAGCGATTTGAGGACAATTACAGAAAAGGAAATATCTTCGTATAACAACCAGACAGAATCATTCTCAGAAAGTGCTTTGTGATGTGTGCGTTCAACTCACAGAGTTTAACCTTTCTTTTCATAGAGGAGTTTGGAAACACACTGTTTGTAAAGTCTGCAATTGGATATATGGACCTGTTTGAGGCCTTCGTTGGAAACGGGATTTCTTCATTGAATGCTAGACGGAAGAATTCTCAGTAAATTCTTTGTGTTGTGTGCATTCAACTCACAGAGTGGAACGTCCCTTTAGACAGAGCAGATTTGAAACACTCTTTTTGCGGAATTTGCAAGTGGAGATTTCTAGCCATTTGATGCCAATAGTAGAAAGGGAAATATCTTCAAATAAAAACCAGACAGAATCATTCTCAGAAAATTCTTTGTGATGTGTGCGTTCAACTCACATAGTTTAACCTTTCTTTTCATAGAGCAGTTTGGAAACACTCTGTTTGTAAAGTCTGCAAGTGGATATATGGACCGCATTGAGGCCTTCGTTGGAAACGGGATTTCTTCATTTCATGCTAGACAGAAGAATTCTCAGTAACTTCTTTGTGCTGTGTGTATTCAACTCACAGAGTGGAACGTCCCTTTACACAGAGCAGATTTGAAACACTCTTTTTGTGGAGTTTGCAAGTGGAGATTTCAAGCGATTTGATGCCAACAGTAGAAAAGGAAATATCTTCAAATAAAAACTAGACAGAATCATTCTCAGAAACTACTTTGTGATGTGTGCCTTCAACTCACAGAGTTTAACCTTTCTTTTCTTAGAGCAGTTTAGAAACACTCTGCTTGTTATGTCTGCAAGTGGATATTTGGACATCTTTGAGGCCTTCGTTGCAAACGGGGTTTCTTCCTTTCATGCTAGACTAAGAAGAGTTCTCAGTAACTTTTTTGTGTTGTGTGTATTCAACTCACAGAGTTGAACCTTGCTTTAGAGAGAGCAGATTTGAAACACTCTTGCTGTGGCATTTTCAGGTGGAGATTTCAAGCGATTTGAGGACAATTGCAGAAAAGGAAATATCTTCGTATAACAACCAGACAGAATCATTCTCAGAAAGTGCTTTGTGATGTGTGCGTTCAACTCACAGAGTTTAACCTTTCTTTTCATAGAGGAGTTTGGAAACACACTGTTTGTAAAGTCTGCAAGTGGATATATGGACCTGTTTGAGGCCTTCGTTGGAAACGGGATTTCTTCATTGAATGGTAGACGGAAGAATTCTCAGTAACTTCCTTGTGCTGTGTGTATTCAACTCACAGAGTGGAACGTCCCTTTGCACAGAGCAGATTTGAAACACTCTTTTTGCGGAATTTGCAAGTGGAGATTTCTAGCCATTTGATGCCAACAGTAGAAAGGGAAATATCTTCAAATAAAAACCAGACAGAATCATTCTCAGAAAATTCTTTGTGATGTGTGCGTTCAACTCACATAGTTTAACCTTTCTTTTTATAGAGCAGTTTGGAAACACTCTGTTTGTAAAGTCTGCAAGTGGATATATGGACCGCATTGAGGCCTTCGTTGGAAACGGGATTTCTTCATTTCATGCTAGACAGAAGAATTCTCAGTAACTTCTTTGTGCTGTGTGTATTCAACTCACAGAGTGGAACGTCCCTTTGCACAGAGCAGATTTGAAACACTCTTTTTGTGGAGTTTGCAAGTGGAGATTTCAAGCGATTTGATGCCAACAGTAGAAAAGGAAATATCTTCAAATAAAAACTAGACAGAATCATTCTCAGAAACTACTTTGTGATGTGTGCCTTCAACTCACAGAGTTTAACCTTTCTTTTCTTAGAGCAGTTTAGAAACACTCTGCTTGTTATGTCTGCAAGTGGATATTTGGACCTCTTTGAGGCCTTCGTTGCAAACGGGGTTTCTTCCTTTCATGCTAGACTAAGAAGAGTTCTCAGTAACTTTTTTGTGTTGTGTGTATTCAACTCACAGAGTTGAACCTTGCTTTAGAGAGAGCAGATTTGAAACACTCTTGCTGTGGCATTTTCAGGTGGAGATTTCAAGCGATTTGAGGACAATTGCAGAAAAGGAAATATCTTCGTATAATAACCAGACAGAATCATTCTCAGAAAGTGCTTTGTGATGTGTGCGTTCCACTCACAGAGTTTAACCTTTCTTTTCATAGAGGAGTTTGGAAACAAACTGTTTGTAAAGTCTGCAAGTGGATATATGGACCTGTTTGAGGCCTTCGTTGGAAACGGGATTTCTTCATTGAATGCTAGACGGAAGAATTCTCAGTAAATTCTTTGTGTTGTGTGCATTCAACTCACAGAGTGGAACGTCCCTTTAGACACAGCAGATTTGAAACACTCTTTTTGCGGAATTTGCAAGTGGAGATTTCTAGCCATTTGATGCCAACAGTAGAAAGGGAAATATCTTCAAATAAAAACCAGACAGAATCATTCTCAGAAAATTCTTTGTGATGTGTGCGTTCAACTCACATAGTTTAACCTTTCTTTTCATAGAGCAGTTTGGGAACACTCTGTTGGTAATGTCTGCAAGTGGATATATGGACCGCTTTGAGGCCTTCGTTGGAAACGGGATTTCTTCATTTCATGCTAGACAGAAGAATTCTCAGTAACTTCTTTGTGCTGTGTGTATTCAACTCACAGAGTGGAACGTCCCTTTACACAGAGCAGATTTGAAACACTCTTTTTGTGGAGTTTGCAAGTGGAGAATTCAAGCGATTTGATGAAAACAGTAGAAAAGGAAATATCTTCAAATAAAAACTAGACAGAATCATTCTCAGAAACTGCTTTGTGATGTGTGCCTTCAACTCACAGAGTTTAACCTTTCTTTTCTTAGAGCAGTTTAGAAACACTCTGCTTGTTATGTCTGCAAGTGGATATTTGGACCTCTTTGAGGCCTTCGTTGCAAACGGGGTTTCTTCCTTTCATGCTAGACTAAGAAGAGTTCTCAGTAACTTTTTTGTGTTGTGTGTATTCAACTCACAGAGTTGAACCTTGCTTTAGAGAGAGCAGATTTGAAACACTCTTGCTGTGGCATTTTCAGGTGGAGATTTCAAGCGTTTTGAGGACAATTGCAGAAAAGGAAATATCTTCGTATAATAACCAGACAGAATCATTCTCAGAAAGTGCTTTGTGATGTGTGCGTTCCACTCACAGAGTTTAACCTTTCTTTTCATAGAGGAGTTTGGAAACACACTGTTTGTAAAGTCTGCAAGTGGATATATGGACCTGTTTGAGGCCTTCGTTGGAAACGGGATTTCTTCATTGAATGCTAGACGGAAGAATTCTCAGTAAATTCTTTGTGTGGTGTGCATTCAACTCACAGAGTGGAACGTCCCTTTAGACAGAGCAGATTTGAAACACTCTTTTTGCGGAATTTGCAAGTGGAGATTTCTAGCCATTTGATGCCAACAGTAGAAAGGGAAATATCTTCAAATAAAAACCAGACAGAATCATTCTCAGAAAATTCTTTGGGATGTGTGCGTTCAACTCACATAGTTTAACCTTTCTTTTCATAGAGCAGTTTGGGAACACTCTGTTGGTAATGTCTGCAAGTGGATAAATGGACCGCTTTGAGGCCTTCGTTGGAAACGGGATTTCTTCATTTCATGCTAGACAGAAGAATTCTCAGTAACTTCTTTGTGCTGTGTGTATTCAACTCACAGAGTGGAACGTCCCTTTGCACAGAGCAGATTTGAAACACTCTTTTTGTGGAATTTGCAAGTGGAGATTTCAAGCGATTTGATGCCAACAGTAGAAAAGGAAATATCTTCAAATAAAAACTAGACAGAATCATTCTCAGAAACTACTTTGTGATGTGTGCCTTCAACTCACAGAGTTTAACCTTTCTTTTCTTAGAGCAGTTTAGAAACACTCTGCTTGTTATGTCTGCAAGTGGATATTTGGACCTCTTTGAGGCCTTCGTTGCAAACGGGGTTTCTTCCTTTAATGCTAGACTAAGAAGAGTTCTCAGTAACTTTTTTGTGTTGTGTGTATTCAACTCACAGAGCTGAACCTTGCTTTAGAGAGAGCAGATTTGAAACACTCTTGCTGTGGCATTTTCAGGTGGAGATTTCAAGCGATTTGAGGACAATTGCAGAAAAGGAAATATCTTCGTATAACAACCAGACAGAATCATTCTCAGAAAGTGCTTTGTGATGTGTGCGTTCAACTCACAGAGTTTAACCTTTCTTTTCATAGAGGAGTTTGGAAACACACTGTTTGTAAAGTCTGCAATTGGATATATGGACCTGTTTGAGGCCTTCGTTGGAAACGGGATTTCTTCATTGAATGCTAGACGGAAGAATTCTCAGTAAATTCTTTGTGTTGTGTGCATTCAACTCACAGAGTGGAACGTCCCTTTAGACAGAGCAGATTTGAAACACTCTTTTTGCGGAATTTGCAAGTGGAGATTTCTAGCCATTTGATGCCAACAGTAGAAAGGGAAATATCTTCAAATAAAAACCAGACAGAATCATTCTCAGAAAATTCTTTGTGATGTGTGCGTTCAACTCACATAGTTTAACCTTTCTTTTCATAGAGCAGTTTGGAAACACTCTGTTTGTAAAGTCTGCAAGTGGATATATGGACCGCATTGAGGCCTTCGTTGGAAACGGGATTTCTTCATTTCATGCTAGACAGAAGAATTCTCAGTAACTTCTTTGTGCTGTGTGTATTCAACTCACAGAGTGGAACGTCCCTTTGCACAGAGCAGATTTGAAACACTCTTTTTGTGGAGTTTGCAAGTGGAGATTTCAAGCGATTTGATGCCAACAGTAGAAAAGGAAATATCTTCAAATAAAAACTAGACAGAATCATTCTCAGAAACTACTTTGTGATGTGTGCCTTCAACTCACAGAGTTTAACCTTTCTTTTCTTAGAGCAGTTTAGAAACACTCGGCTTGTTATGTCTGCAAGTGGATATTTGGACCTCTTTGAGGCCTTCGTTGCAAACGGGGTTTCTTCCTTTCATGCTAGACTAAGAAGAGTTCTCAGTAACTTTTTTGTGTTGTGTGTATTCAAATCACAGAGTTGAACCTTGCTTTAGAGAGAGCAGATTTGAAACACTCTTGCTGTGGCATTTTCAGGTGGAGATTTCAAGCGATTTGAGGACAATTGCAGAAAAGGAAATATCTTCGTATAATAACCAGACAGAATCATTCTCAGAAATTGCTTTGTGATGTGTGCGTTCAACTCACAGAGTTTAACCTTTCTTTTCATAGAGGAGTTTGGAAACACACTGTTTGTAAAGTCTGCAATTGGATATATGGACCTGTTTGAGGCCTTCGTTGGAAACGGGATTTCTTCATTGAATGCTAGACGGAAGAATTCTCAGTAAATTCTTTGTGTTGTGTGCATTCAACTGACAGAGTGGAACGTCCCTTTAGACAGAGCAGATTTGAAACACTCTTTTTGCGGAATTTGCAAGTGGAGATTTCTAGCCATTTGATGCCAACAGTAGAAAGGGAAATATCTTCAAATAAAAACCAGACAGAATCATTCTCAGAAAATTCTTTGTGATGTGTGCGTTCAACTCACATAGTTTAACCTTTCTTTTCATAGAACAGTTTGGAAACACTCTGTTTGTAAAGTCTGCAAGTGGATATATGGACCGCATTGAGGCCTTCGTTGGAAACGGGATTTCTTCATTTCATGCTAGACAGAAGAATTCTCAGTAACTTCTTTGTGCTGTGTGTATTCAACTCACAGAGTGGAACGTCCCTTTACACAGAGCAGATTTGAAACACTCTTTTTGTGGAGTTTGCAAGTGGAGATTTCAAGCGATTTGATGCCAACAGTAGAAAAGGAAATATGCTTCAAATAAAAACTAGACAGAATCATTTAGAAACTACTTTGTGATGTGTGCCTTCAACTCACAGAGTTTAACCTTTCTTTTCATAGAGCAGTTTAGAAACACTCTGCTTGTTATGTCTGCAAGTGGATATTTGGACCTCTTTGAGGCCTTCGTTGCAAACGGGGTTTCTTCCTTTAATGCTAGACTAAGAAGAGTTCTCAGTAACTTTTTTGTGTTGTGTGTATTCAACCCACAGAGTTGAACCTTGCTTTAGAGAGAGCAGATTTGAAACACTCTTGCTGTGGCATTTTCAGGTGGAGATTTCAAGCGATTTGAGGACAATTGCAGAAAAGGAAATATCTTCGTATAATAACCAGACAGAATCATTCTCAGAAAGTGCTTTGTGATGTGTGCGTTCAACTCACAGAGTTTAACCTTTCTTTTCATAGAGGAGTTTGGAAACACACTGTTTGTAAAGTCTGCAATTGGATATATGGACCTGTTTGAGGCCTTCGTTGGAAACGGGATTTCTTCATTGAATGCTAGACGGAAGAATTCTCAGTAAATTCTTTGTGTTGTGTGCATTCAACTCACAGAGTGGAACGTCCCTTTAGACAGAGCAGATTTGAAACACTCTTTTTGCGGAATTTGCAAGTGGAGATTTCTAGCCATTTGATGCCAACAGTAGAAAGGGAAATATCTTCAAATAAAAACCAGACAGAATCATTCTCAGAAAATTCTTTGTGATGTGTGCTTTCAACTCACATAGTTTAACCTTTCTTTTCATAGAGCAGTTTGGAAACACTCTGTTTGTAAAGTCTGCAAGTGGATATATGGACCGCATTGAGGCCTTCGTTGGAAACGGGATTTCTTCATTTCATGCTAGACAGAAGAATTCTCAGTAACTTCTTTGTGCTGTGTGTATTCAACTCACAGAGTGGAACGTCCCTTTGCACAGAGCAGATTTGAAACACTCTTTTTGTGGAGTTTGCAAGTGGAGATTTCAAGCGATTTGATGCCAACAGTAGAAAAGGAAATATCTTCAAATAAAAACTAGACAGAATCATTCTCAGAAACTACTTTGTGATGTGTGCCTTTAACTCACAGAGTTTAACCTTTCTTTTCTTAGAGCAGTTTAGAAACACTCTGCTTGTTATGTCTGCAAGTGGATATTTGGACCTCTTTGAGGCCTTCGTTGCAAACGGGGTTTCTTCCTTTCATGCTAGACTAAGAAGAGTTCTCAGTAACTTTTTTGTGTTGTGTGTATTCAACTCACAGAGTTGAACCTTGCTTTAGAGACAGCAGATTTGAAACACTCTTGCTGTGGCATTTTCAGGTGGAGATTTCAAGCGATTTGAGGACAATTGCAGAAAAGGAAATATCTTCGTATAATAACCAGACAGAATCATTCTCAGAAAGTGCTTTGTGATGTGTGCGTTCAACTCACAGAGTTTAACCTTTCTTTTCATAGAGGAGTTTGGAAACACACTGTTTGTAAAGTCTGCAAGTGGATATATGGACCTGTTTGAGGCCTTCGTTGGAAACGGGATTTCTTCATTGAATGCTAGACGGAAGAATTCTCAGTAAATTCTTTGTGTTGTGTGCATTCAACTCACAGAGTGGAACGTCCCTTTAGACAGAGCAGATTTGAAACACTCTTTTTGCGGAATTTGCAAGTGGAGATTTCTAGCCATTTGATGCCAACAGTAGAAAGGGAAATATCTTCAAATAAAAACCAGACAGAATCATTCTCAGAAAATTCTTTGTGATGTGTGCGTTCAACTCACATAGTTTAACCTTTCTTTTCATAGAGCAGTTTGGAAACACTCTGTTTGTAAAGTCTGCAAGTGGATATATGGACCGCATTGAGGCCTTCGTTGGAAACGGGATTTCTTCATATCATGCTAGACAGAAGAATTCTCAGTAACTTCTTTGTGCTGTGTGTATTCAACTCACAGAGTGGAACGTCCCTTTACACAGAGCAGATTTGAAACACTCTTTTTGTGGAGTTTGCAAGTGGAGATTTCAAGCGATTTGATGCCAACAGTAGAAAAGGAAATATCTTCAAATAAAAACTAGACAGAATCATTCTCAGAAACTACTTTGTGATGTGTGCCTTCAACTCACAGAGTTTAACCTTTCTTTTCTTAGAGCAGTTTAGAAACACTCTGCTTGTTATGTCTGCAAGTGGATATTTGGACCTCTTTGAGGCCTTCGTTGCAAACGGGGTTTCTTCCTTTCATGCTAGACTAAGAAGAGTTCTCAGTAACTTTTTTGTGTTGTGTGTATTCAACTCACAGAGTTGAACCTTGCTTTAGAGAGAGCAGATTTGAAACACTCTTGCTGTGGCATTTTCAGGTGGAGATTTCAAGCGATTTGAGGACAATTGCAGAAAAGGAAATATCTTCGTATAATAACCAGACAGAATCATTCTCAGAAAGTGCTTTGTGTTGTGTGCGTTCAACTCACAGAGTTTAACCTTTCTTTTCATAGAGGAGTTTGGAAACACACTGTTTGTAAAGTCTGCAATTGGATATATGGACCTGTTTGAGGCCTTCGTTGGAAACGGGATTTCTTCATTGAATGCTAGACGGAAGAATTCTCAGTAAATTCTTTGTGTTGTGTGCATTCAACTCACAGAGTGGAACGTCCCTTTAGACACAGCAGATTTGAAACACTCTTTTTGCGGAATTTGCAAGTGGAGATTTCTAGCCATTTGATGCCAACAGTAGAAAGGGAAATATCTTCAAATAAAAACCAGACAGAATCATTCTCAGAAAATTCTTTGTGATGTGTGCGTTCAACTCACATAGTTTAACCTTTCTTTTCATAGAGCAGTTTGGAAACACTCTGTTTGTGATGTCTGCAAGTGGATATATAGACCGCATTGAGGCCTTCGTTGGAAACGGGATTTCTTCATTTCATGCTAGACAAGAATTCTCAGTAACTTCTTTGTGCTGTGTGTATTCAACTCACAGAGTGGAACGTCCCTTTGCACAGAGCAGATTTGAAACACTCTTTTTGTGGAGTTTGCAAGTGGATATTTCAAGCGATTTGATGCCAACAGTAGAAAAGGAAATATCTTCAAATAAAAACTAGACAGAATCATTCTCAGAAACTACTTTGTGATGTGTGCCTTCAACTCACAGAGTTTAACCTTTCTTTTCTTAGAGCAGTTTAGAAACACTCTGCTTGTTATGTCTGCAAGTGGATATTTGGACCTCTTTGAGGCCTTCGTTGCAAACGGGGTTTCTTCCTTTCATGCTAGACTAAGAAGAGTTCTCAGTAACTTTTTTGTGTTGTGTGTATTCAACTCACAGAGTTGAACCTTGCTTTAGAGAGAGCAGATTTGAAACACTCTTGCTGTGGCATTTTCAGGTGGAGATTTCAAGCGATTTGAGGACAATTGCAGAAAAGGAAATATCTTCGTATAACAACCAGACAGAATCATTCTCAGAAAGTGCTTTGTGATGTGTGCGTTCAACTCACAGAGTTTAACCTTTCTTTTCATAGAGGAGTTTGGAAACACACTGTTTGTAAAGTCTGCAATTGGATATATGGACCTGTTTGAGGCCTTCGTTGGAAACGGGATTTCTTCATTGAATGCTAGACGGAAGAATTCTCAGTAAATTCTTTGTGTGGTGTGCATTCAACTCACAGAGTGGAACGTCCCTTTAGACAGAGCAGATTTGAAACACTCTTTTTGCGGAATTTGCAAGTGGAGATTTCTAGCCATTTGATGCCAACAGTAGAAAGGGAAATATCTTCAAATAAAAACCAGACAGAATCATTCTCAGAAAATTCTTTGTGATGTGTGCGTTCAACTCACATAGTTTAACCTTTCTTTTCATAGAGCAGTTTGGAAACACTCTGTTTGTAAAGTCTGCAAGTGGATCTATGGACCGCATTGAGGCCTTCGTTGGAAACGGGATTTCTTCATTTCATGCTAGACAGAAGAATTCTCAGTAACTTCTTTGTGCTGTGTGTATTCAACTCACAGAGTGGAACGTCCCTTTGCACAGAGCAGATTTGAAACACTCTTTTTGTGGAATTTGCAAGTGGAGATTTCAAGCGATTTGATGCCAACAGTAGAAAAGGAAATATCTTCAAATAAAAACTAGACAGAATCATTCTCAGAAACTACTTTGTGATGTGTGCCTTCAACTCACAGAGTTTAACCTTTCTTTTCTTAGAGCAGTTTAGAAACACTCTGCTTGTTATGTCTGCAAGTGGATATTTGGACCTCTTTGAGGCCTTCGTTGCAAACGGGGTTTCTTCCTTTCATGCTAGACTAAGAAGAGTTCTCAGTAACTTTTTTGTGTTGTGTGTATTCAACTCACAGAGCTGAACCTTGCTTTAGAGAGAGCAGATTTGAAACACTCTTGCTGTGGCATTTTCAGGTGGAGATTTCAAGCGATTTGAGGACAATTGCAGAAAAGGAAATATCTTCGTATAATAACCAGACAGAATCATTCTCAGAAAGTGCTTTGTGATGTGTGCGTTCCACTCACAGAGTTTAACCTTTCTTTTCATAGAGGAGTTTGGAAACACACTGTTTGTAAAGTCTGCAAGTGGATATATGGACCTGTTTGAGGCCTTCGTTGGAAACGGGATTTCTTCATTGAATGCTAGACGGAAGAATTCTCAGTAAATTCTTTGTGTTGTGTGCATTCAACTCACAGAGTGGAACGTCCCTTTAGACAGAGCAGATTTGAAACACTCTTTTTGCGGAATTTGCAAGTGGAGATTTCTAGCCATTTGATGCCAACAGTAGAAAGGGAAATATCTTCAAATAAAAACCAGACAGAATCATTCTCAGAAAATTCTTTGTGATGTGTGCGTTCAACTCACATAGTTTAACCTTTCTTTTCATAGAGCAGTTTGGAAACACTCTGTTTGTAAAGTCTGCAAGTGGATATATGGACCGCATTGAGGCCTTCGTTGGAAACGGGATTTCTTCATTTCATGCTAGACAGAAGAATTCTCAGTAACTTCTTTGTGCTGTGTGTATTCAACTCACAGAGTGGAACGTCCCTTTGCACAGAGCAGATTTGAAACACTCTTTTTGTGGAGTTTGCAAGTGGAGATTTCAAGCGATTTGATGCCAACAGTAGAAAAGGAAATATCTTCAAATAAAAACTAGACAGAATCATTCTCAGAAACTACTTTGTGATGTGTGCCTTCAACTCACAGAGTTTAACCTTTCTTTTCTTAGAGCAGTTTAGAAACACTCTGCTTGTTATGTCTGCAAGTGGATATTTGGACCTACTTTGAGGCCTTCGTTGCAAACGGGGTTTCTTCCTTTCATGCTAGACTAAGAAGAGTTCTCAGTAACTTTTTTGTGTTGCGTGTATTCAACTCACAGAGTTGAACCTTGCTTTAGAGAGAGCAGATTTGAAACACTCTTGCTGTGGCATTTTCAGGTGGAGATTTCAAGCGATTTGAGGACAATTGCAGAAAAGGAAATATCTTCGTATAATAACCAGACAGAATCATTCTCAGAAAGTGCTTTGTGATGTGTGCGTTCAACTCACAGAGTTTAACCTTTCTTTTCATAGAGGAGTTTGGAAACACACTGTTTGTAAAGTCTGCAATTGGATATATGGACCTGTTTGAGGCCTTCTTTGGAAACGGGATTTCTTCATTGAATGCTAGACGGAAGAATTCTCAGTAAATTCTTTGTGTTGTGTGCATTCAACTCACAGAGTGGAACGTCCCTTTAGACAGAGCAGATTTGAAACACTCTTTTTGCGGAATTTGCAAGTGGAGATTTCTAGCCATTTGATGCCAACAGTAGAAAGGGAAATATCTTCAAATAAAAACCAGACAGAATCATTCTCAGAAAATTCTTTGTGATGTGTGCGTTCAACTCACATAGTTTTACCTTTCTTTTCATAGAGCAGTTTGGAAACACTCTGTTTGTAAAGTCTGCAAGTGGATATATGGACCGCATTGAGGCCTTCGTTGGAAACGGGATTTCTTCATTTCATGCTAGACAGAAGAATTCTCAGTAACTTCTTTGTGCTGTGTGTATTCAACTCACAGAGTGGAACGTCCCTTTGCACAGAGCAGATTTGAAACACTCTTTTTGTGGAGTTTGCAATTGGAGATTTCAAGCGATTTGATGCCAACAGTAGAAAAGGAAATATCTTCAAATAAAAACTAGACAGGAATCATTCTCAGAAACTACTTTGTGATGTGTGCCTTCAACTCACAGAGTTCAACCTTTCTTTTCTTAGAGCAGTTTAGAAACACTCTGCTTGTTATGTCTGCAAGTGGATATTTGGACCTCTTTGAGGCCTTCGTTGCAAACGGGGTTTCTTCCTTTCATGCTAGACTAAGAAGAGTTCTCAGTAACTTTTTTGTGTTGTGTGTATTCAACTCACAGAGTTGAACCTTGCTTTAGAGAGAGCAGATTTGAAACACTCTTGCTGTGGCATTTTCAGGTGGAGATTTCAAGCGATTTGAGGACAATTGCAGAAAAGGAAATATCTTCGTATAATAACCAGACAGAATCATTCTCAGAAAGTGCTTTGTGATGTGTGCGTTCAACTCACAGAGTTTAACCTTTCTTTTCATAGAGGAGTTTGGAAACACACTGTTTGTAAAGTCTGCAAGTGGATATATGGACCTGTTTGAGGCCTTCGTTGGAAACGGGATTTCTTCATTGAATGCTACACGGAAGAATTCTCAGTAAATTCTTTGTGTTGTGTGCATTCAACTGACAGAGTGGAACGTCCCTTTAGACAGAGCAGATTTGAAACACTCTTTTTGCGGAATTTGCAAGTGGAGATTTCTAGCCATTTGATGCCAACAGTAGAAAGGGAAACATCTTCAAATAAAAACCAGACAGAATCATTCTCAGAAAATTCTTTGTGATGTGTGCGTTCAACTCACATAGTTTAACCTTTCTTTTCATAGAGCAGTTTGGAAACACTCTGTTTGTAAAGTCTGCAAGTGGATATATGGACCGCATTGAGGCCTTCGTTGGAAACGGGATTTCTTCATTTCATGCTAGACAGAAGAATTCTCAGTAACTTCTTTGTGCTGTGTGTATTCAACTCACAGAGTGGAACGTCCCTTTGCACAGAGCAGATTTGAAACACTCTTTTTGTGGAATTTGCAAGTGGAGATTTCAAGCGATTTGATGCCAACAGTAGAAAAGGAAATATCTTCAAATAAAAACTAGACAGAATCATTCTCAGAAACTACTTTGTGATGTGTGCCTTCAACTCACAGAGTTTAACCTTTCTTTTCTTAGAGCAGTTTAGAAACACTCTGCTTGTTATGTCTGCAAGTGGATATTTGGACCTCTTTGAGGCCTTCGTTGCAAACGGGGTTTCTTCCTTTCATGCTAGACTAAGAAGAGTTCTCAGTAACTTTTTTGTGTTGTGTGTATTCAACTCACAGAGTTGAACCTTGCTTTAGAGAGAGCAGATTTGAAACACTCTTGCTGTGGCATTTTCAGGTGGAGATTTCAAGCGATTTGAGGACAATTGCAGAAAAGGAAATATCTTCGTATAATAACCAGACAAAATCATTCTCAGAAAGTGCTTTGTGATGTGTGCGTTCCACTCACAGAGTTTAACCTTTCTTTTCATAGAGGAGTTTGGAAACACACTGTTTGTAAAGTCTGCAAGTGGATATATGGACCTCTTTGAGGCCTTCGTTGGAAACGGGATTTCTTCATTGAATGCTAGACGGAAGAATTCTCAGTAAATTCTTTGTGTTGTGTGCATTCAACTCACAGAGTGGAACGTCCCTTTAGACAGAGCAGATTTGAAACACTCTTTTTGCGGAATTTGCAAGTGGAGATTTCTAGCCATTTGATGCCAACAGTAGAAAGGGAAATATCTTCAAATAAAAACCAGACAGAATCATTCTCAGAAAATTATTTGTGATGTGTGCGTTCAACTCACATAGTTTAACCTTTCTTTTCATAGAGCAGTTTGGAAACACTCTGTTTGTAAAGTCTGCAAGTGGATATATGGACCGCATTGAGGCCTTCGTTGGAAACGGGATTTCTTCATTTCATGCTAGACAGAAGAATTCTCAGTAACTTCTTTGTGCTGTGTGTATTCAACTCACAGAGTGGAACGTCCCTTTACACAGAGCAGATTTTAAACACTCTTTTTGTGGAGTTTGCAAGTGGAGATTTCAAGCGATTTGATGCCAACAGTAGAAAAGGAAATATCTTCAAATAAAAACTAGACAGAAATCATTCTCAGTAAACTACTTTGTGATGTGTGCCTTCAACTCACAGAGTTTAACCTTTCTTTTCTTAGAGCAGTTTAGAAACACTCTGCTTGTTATGTCTGCAAGTGGATATTTGGACCTCTTTGAGGCCTTCGTTGCAAACGGGGTTTCTTCCTTTAATGCTAGACTAAGAAGAGTTCTCAGTAACTTTTTTGTGTTGTGTGTATTCAACTCACAGAGTTGAACCTTGCTTTAGAGAGAGCAGATTTGAAACACTCTTGCTGTGGCATTTTCAGGTGGAGATTTCAAGCGTTTTGAGGACAATTGCAGAAAAGGAAATATCTTCGTATAATAACCAGACAGAATCATTCTCAGAAAGTGCTTTGTGATGTGTGCGTTCCACTCACAGAGTTTAACCTTTCTTTTCATAGAGGAGTTTGGAAACACACTGTTTGTAAAGTCTGCAAGTGGATATATGGACCTGTTTGAGGCCTTCGTTGGAAACGGGATTTCTTCATTGAATGCTAGACGGAAGAATTCTCAGTAAATTCTTTGTGTTGTGTGCATTCAACTCACAGAGTGGAACGTCCCTTTAGACAGAGCAGATTTGAAACACTCTTTTTGCGGAATTTGCAAGTGGAGATTTCTAGCCATTTGATGCCAACAGTAGAAAGGGAAATATCTTCAAATAAAAACCAGACAGAATCATTCTCAGAAAATTCTTTGTGATGTGTGCGTTCAACTCACATAGTTTAACCTTTCTTTTCATAGAGCAGTTTGGAAACACTCTGTTTGTAAAGTCTGCAAGTGGATATATGGACCGCATTGAGGCCTTCGTTGGAAACGGGATTTCTTCATTTCATGCTAGACAGAAGAATTCTCAGTAACTTCTTTGTGCTGTGTGTATTCAACTCACAGAGTGGAACGTCCCTTTACACAGAGCAGATTTGAAACACACTTTTTGTGGAGTTTGCAAGTGGAGATTTCAAGCGATTTGATGCCAACAGTAGAAAAGGAAATATCTTCAAATAAAAACTAGACAGAATCATTCTCAGAAACTACTTTGTAATGTGTGCCTTCAACTCACAGAGTTTAACCTTTCTTTTCTTAGAGCAGTTTAGAAACACTCTGCTTGTTATGTCTGCAAGTGGATATTTGGACCTCTTTTGAGGCCTTCGTTGCAAACGGGATTTCTTCCTTTCATGCTAGACTAAGAAGAGTTCTCAGTAACTTTTTTGTGTTGTGTGTATTCAACTCACAGAGTTGAACCTTGCTTTAGAGAGAGCAGATTTGAAACACTCTTGCTGTGGCATTTTCAGGTGGAGATTTCAAGCGTTTTGAGGACAATTGCAGAAAAGGAAATATCTTCGTATAATAACCAGACAGAATCATTCTCAGAAAGTGCTTTGTGATGTGTGCGTTCCACTCACAGAGTTTAACCTTTCTTTTCATAGAGGAGTTTGGAAACACACTGTTTGTAAACTCTGCAAGTGGATATATGGACCTGTTTGAGGCCTTCGTTGGAAACGGGATTTCTTCATTGAATGCTAGACGGAGGAATTCTCAGTAAATTCTTTGTGTTGTGTGCATTCAACTCACAGAGTGGAACGTCCCTTTAGACAGAGCAGATTTGAAACACTCTTTTTGCGGAATTTGCAAGTGGAGATTTCTAGCCATTTGATGCCAACAGTAGAAAGGGAAATATCTTCAAATAAAAACCAGACAGAATCATTCTCAGAAAATTCTTTGTGATGTGTGCGTTCAACTCACATAGTTTAACCTTTCTTTTCATAGAGCAGTTTGGAAACACTCTGTTTGTAAAGTCTGCAAGTGGATATATGGACCGCATTGAGGCCTTCGTTGGAAACGGGATTTCTTCATTTCATGCTAGACAGAAGAATTCTCAGTAACTTCTTTGTGCTGTGTGTATTCAACTCACAGAGTGGAACGTCCCTTTGCACAGAGCAGATTTGAAACACTCTTTTTGTGGAGTTTGCAAGTGGAGATTTCAAGCGATTTGATGCCAACAGTAGAAAAGGAAATATCTTCAAATAAAAACTAGACAGAATCATTCTCAGAAACTACTTTGTGATGTGTGCCTTCAACTCACAGAGTTTAACCTTTCTTTTCTTAGAGCAGTTTAGAAACACTCTGCTTGTTATGTCTGCAAGTGGATATTGGGACCTCTTTGAGGCCTTCGTTGCAAACGGGGTTTCTTCGTTTAATGCTAGACTAAGAAGAGTTCTCAGTAACTTTTTTGTGTTGTGTGTATTCAACTCACAGAGTTGAACCTTGCTTTAGAGAGAGCAGATTTGAAACACTCTTGCTGTGGCATTTTCAGGTGGAGATTTCAAGCGATTTGAGGACAATTGCAGAAAAGGAAATATCTTCGTATAATAACCAGACAGAATCATTCTCAGAAAGTGCTTTGTGATGTGTGCGTTCCACTCACAGAGTTTAACCTTTCTTTTCATAGAGGAGTTTGGAAACACACTGTTTGTAAAGTCTGCAAGTGGATATATGGACCTGTTTGAGGCCTTCGTTGGAAACGGGATTTCTTCATTGAATGCTAGACGGAAGAATTCTCAGTAAATTCTTTGTGTTGTGTGCATTCAACTCACAGAGTGGAACGTCCCTTTAGACAGAGCAGATTTGAAACACTCTTTTTGCGGAATTTGCAAGTGGAGATTTCTAGCCATTTGATGCCAACAGTAGAAAGGGAAATATCTTCAAATAAAAACCAGACAGAATCATTCTCAGAAAATTCTTTGTGATGTGTGCGTTCAACTCACATAGTTTAACCTTTCTTTTCATAGAGCAGTTTGGAAACACTCTGTTTGTAAAGTCTGCAAGTGGATCTATGGACCGCATTGAGGCCTTCGTTGGAAACGGGATTTCTTCATTTCATGCTAGACAGAAGAATTCTCAGTAACTTCTTTGTGCTGTGTGTATTCAACTCACAGAGTGGAACGTCCCTTTACACAGAGCAGATTTGAAACACTCTTTTTGTGGAGTTTGCAAGTGGAGATTTCAAGCGATTTGATGCCAACAGTAGAAAATGAAATATCTTCAAATAAAAACTAGACAGAATCATTCTCAGAAACTACTTTGTGATGTGTGCCTTCAACTCACAGAGTTTAACCTTTCTTTTCTTAGAGCAGTTTAGAAACACTCTGCTTGTTATGTCTGCAAGTGGATATTTGGACCTCTTTGAGGCCTTCGTTGCAAACGGGGTTTCTTCCTTTCATGCTAGACTAAGAAGAGTTCTCAGTAACTTTTTTGTGTTGTGTGTATTCAACTCACAGAGCTGAACCTTGCTTTAGAGAGAGCAGATTTGAAACACTCTTGCTGTGGCATTTTCAGGTGGAGATTTCAAGCGATTTGAGGACAATTTCAGAAAAGGAAATATCTTCGTATAACAACCAGACAGAATCATTCTCAGAAAGTGCTTTGTGATGTGTGCGTTCAACTCACAGAGTTTAACCTTTCTTTTCATAGAGGAGTTTGGAAACACACTGTTTGTAAAGTCTGAAATTGGATATATGGACCTGTTTGAGGCCTTCATTGGAAACGGGATTTCTTCATTGAATGCTAGACGGAAGAATTCTCAGTAAATTCTTTGTGTTGTGTGCATTCAACTGACAGAGTGGAACGTCCCTTTAGACAGAGCAGATTTGAAACACTCTTTTTGCGGAATTTGCAAGTGGAGATTTCTAGCCATTTGATGCCAACAGTAGAAAGGGAAATATCTTCAAATAAAAACCAGACAGAATCATTCTCAGAAAATTCTTTGTGATGTGTGCGTTCAACTCACATAGTTTAACCTTTCTTTTCATAGAGCAGTTTGGAAACACTCTGTTTGTAAAGTCTGCAAGTGGATATATGGACCGCATTGAGGCCTTCGTTGGAAACGGTATTTCTTCATTTCATGCTAGACAGAAGAATTCTCAGTAACTTCTTTGTGCTGTGTGTATTCAACTCACAGAGTGGAACGTCCCTTTACACAGAGCAGATTTGAAACACTCTTTTTGTGGAGTTTGCAAGTGGAGATTTCAAGCGATTTGATGCCAACAGTAGAAAAGGAAATATCTTCAAATAAAAACTAGACAGAATCATTCTCAGAAACTACTTTGTGATGTGTGCCTTCAACTCACAGAGTTTAACCTTTCTTTTCTTAGAGCAGTTTAGAAACACTCTGCTTGTTATGTCTGCAAGTGGATATTTGGACCTCTTTGAGGCCTTCGTTGCAAACGGGGTTTCTTCCTTTCATGCTAGACTAAGAAGAGTTCTCAGTAACTTTTTTGTGTTGTGTGTATTCAACTCACAGAGTTGAACCTTGCTTTAGAGAGAGCAGATTTGAAACACTCTTGCTGTGGCATTTTCAGGTGGAGATTTCAAGCGATTTGAGGACAATTGCAGAAAAGGAAATATCTTCGTATAATAACCAGACAGAATCACTCTCAGAAAGTGCTTTGTGATGTGTGCATTCAACTCACAGAGTTTAACCTTTCTTTTCATAGAGGAGTTTGGAAACACACTGTTTGTAAAGTCTGCAATTGGATATATGGACCTGTTTGAGGCCTTCGTTGGAAACGGGATTTCTTCATTGAATGCTAGACGGAAGAATTCTCAGTAAATTCTTTGTGTTGTGTGCATTCAACTCACAGAGTGGAACGTCCCTTTAGACAGAGCAGATTTGAAACACTCTTTTTGCGGAATTTGCAAGTGGAGATTTCTAGCCATTTGATGCCAACAGTAGAAAGGGAAATATCTTCAAATAAAAACCAGACAGAATCATTCTCAGAAAATTCTTTGTGATGTGTGCGTTCAACTCACATAGTTTAACCTTTCTTTTCATAGAGCAGTTTGGAAACACTCTGTTTGTAAAGTCTGCAAGTGGATATATGGACCGCATTGAGGCCTTCGTTGGAAACGGGATTTCTTCATTTCATGCTAGACAGAAGAATTCTCAGTAACTTCTTTGTGCTGTGTGTATTCAACTCACAGAGTGGAACGTCCCTTTGCACAGAGCAGATTTTAAACACTCTTTTTGTGGAGTTTGCAAGTGGAGATTTCAAGCGATTTGATGCCAACAGTAGAAAAGGAAATATCTTCAAATAAAAACTAGACAGAATCATTCTCAGAAACTACTTTGTGATGTGTGCCTTCAACTCACAGAGTTTAACCTTTCTTTTCTTAGAGCAGTTTAGAAACACTCTGCTTGTTATGTCTGCAAGTGGATATTTGGACCTCTTTGAGGCCTTCGTTGCAAACGGGGTTTCTTCCTTTAATGCTAGACTAAGAAGAGTTCTCAGTAACTTTTTTGTGTTGTGTGTATTCAACTCACAGAGTTGAACCTTGCTTTAGAGAGAGCAGATTTGAAACACTCTTGCTGTGGCATTTTCAGGTGGAGATTTCAAGCGATTTGAGGACAATTGCAGAAAAGGAAATATCTTCGTATAATAACCAGACAGAATCATTCTCAGAAAGTGCTTTGTGATGTGTGCGTTCAACTCACAGAGTTTAACCTTTCTTTTCATACAGGAGTTTGGAAACACACTGTTTGTAAAGTCTGCAATTGGATATATGGACCTGTTTGAGGCCTTCGTTGGAAACGGGATTTCTTCATTGAATGCTAGGCGGAAGAATTCTCAGTAAATTCTTTGTGTTGTGTGCATTCAACTGACAGAGTGGAACGTCCCTTTAGACAGAGCAGATTTGAAACACTCTTTTTGCGGAATTTGCAAGTGGAGATTTCTAGCCATTTGATGCCAACAGTAGAAAGGGAAATATCTTCAAATAAAAACCAGACAGAATCATTCTCAGAAATTTCTTTGTGATGTGTGCGTTCAACTCACATAGTTTAACCTTTCTTTTCATAGAGCAGTTTGGAAACACTCTGTTTGTAAAGTCTGCAAGTGGATATATGGACCGCATTGAGGCCTTCGTTGGAAACGGGATTTCTTCATTTCATGCTAGACAGAAGAATTCTCAGTAACTTCTTTGTGCTGTGTGTATTCAACTCACAGAGTGGAACGTCCCTTTACACAGAGCAGATTTGAAACACTCTTTTTGTGGAGTTTGCAAGTGGAGATTTCAAGCGATTTGATGCCAACAGTAGAAAAGGAAATATCTTCAAATAAAAACTAGACAGAATCATTCTCAGAAACTACTTTGTGATGTGTGCCTTCAACTCACAGAGTTTAACCTTTCTTTTCTTAGAGCAGTTTAGAAACACTCTGCTTGTTATGTCTGCAAGTGGATATTTGGACCTCTTTGAGGCCTTCGTTGCAAACGGGGTTTCTTCCTTTAATGCTAGACTAAGAAGAGTTCTCAGTAACTTTTTTGTGTTGTGTGTATTCAACTCACAGAGTTGAACCTTGCTTTAGAGAGAGCAGATTTGAAACACTCTTGCTGTGGCATTTTCAGGTGGAGATTTCAAGCGATTTGAGGACAATTGCAGAAAAGGAAATATCTTCGTATAATAACCAGACAGAATCATTCTCAGAAAGTGCTTTGTGATGTGTGCGTTCCACTCACAGAGTTTAACCTTTCTTTTCATAGAGGAGTTTGGAAACACACTGTTTGTAAAGTCTGCAAGTGGATATATGGACCTGTTTGAGGCCTTCGTTGGAAACGGGATTTCTTCATTGAATGCTAGACGGAAGAATTCTCAGTAAATTCTTTGTGTTGTGTGCATTCAACTGACAGAGTGGAACGTCCCTTTAGACAGAGCAGATTTGAAACACTCTTTTTGCGGAATTTGCAAGTGGAGATTTCTAGCCATTTGATGCCAACAGTAGAAAGGGAAATATCTTCAAATAAAAACCAGACAGAATCATTCTCAGAAAATTCTTTGTGATGTGTGCGCTCAACTCACATAGTTTAACCTTTCTTTTCATAGAGCAGTTTGGAAACACTCTGTTTGTAAAGTCTGCAAGTGGATATATGGACCGCATTGAGGCCTTCGTTGGAAACGGGATTTCTTCATTTCATGCTAGACAGAAGAATTCTCAGTAACTTCTTTGTGCTGTGTGTATTCAACTCACAGAGTGGAACGTCCCTTTACACAGAGCAGATTTGAAACACTCTTTTTGTGGAGTTTGCAAGTGGAGATTTCAAGCGATTTGATGCCAACAGTAGAAAAGGAAATATCTTCAAATAAAAACTAGACAGAAGAATCATTCTCAGAAACTACTTTGTGATGTGTGCCTTCAACTCACAGAGTTTAATCTTTCTTTTCTTAGAGCAGCTTAGAAACACTCTGCTTGTTATGTCTGCAAGTGGATATTTGGACCTCTTTGAGGCCTTCGTTGCAAACGGGGTTTCTTCCTTTCATGCTAGACTAAGAAGAGTTCTCAGTAACTTTTTTGTGTTGTGTGTATTCAACTCACAGAGTTGAACCTTGCTTTAGAGAGAGCAGATTTGAAACACTCTTGCTGTGGCATTTTCAGGTGGAGATTTCAAGCGATTTGAGGACAATTGCAGAAAAGGAAATATCTTCGTATAATAACCAGACAGAATCATTCTCAGAAAGTGCTTTGTGATGTGTGCGTTCAACTCACAGAGTTTAACCTTTCTTTTCATAGAGGAGTTTGGAAACACACTGTTTGTAAAGTCTGCAATTGGATATATGGACCTGTTTGAGGCCTTCGTTGGAAACGGGATTTCTTCATTGAATGCTAGACGGAAGAATTCTCAGTAAATTCTTTGTGTGGTGTGCATTCAACTCACAGAGTGGAACGTCCCTTTAGACAGAGCAGATTTGAAACACTCTTTTTGCGGAATTTGCAAGTGGAGATTTCTAGCCATTTGATGCCAACAGTAGAAAGGGAAATATCTTCAAATAAAAACCAGACAGAATCATTCTCAGAAAATTCTTTGTGATGTGTGCGTTCAACTCACATAGTTTAACCTTTCTTTTCATAGAGCAGTTTGGAAACACTCTGTTTGTAAAGTCTGCAAGTGGATATATGGACCGCATTGAGGCCTTCGTTGGAAACGGGATTTCTTCATTTCATGCTAGACAGAAGAATTCTCAGTAACTTCTTTGTGCTGTGTGTATTCAACTCACAGAGTGGAACGTCCCTTTGCACAGAGCAGATTTGAAACACTCTTTTTGTGGAGTTTGCAAGTGGAGATTTCAAGCGATTTGATGCCAACAGTAGAAAAGGAAATATCTTCAAATAAAAACTAGACAGAATCATTCTCAGAAACTACTTTGTGATGTGTGCCTTCAACTCACAGAGTTTAACCTTTCTTTTCTTAGAGCAGTTTAGAAACACTCTGCTTGTTATGTCTGCAAGTGGATATTTGGACCTCTTTGAGGCCTTCGTTGCAAACGGGGTTTCTTCCTTTCATGCTAGACTAAGAAGAGTTCTCAGTAACTTTTTTGTGTTGTGTGTATTCAACTCACAGAGTTGAACCTTGCTTTAGAGAGAGCAGATTTGAAACACTCTTGCTGTGGCATTTTCAGGTGGAGATTTCAAGCGATTTGAGGACAATTGCAGAAAAGGAAATATCTTCGTATAATAACCAGACAGAATCATTCTCAGAAAGTGCTTTGTGATGCGTGCGTTCAACTCACAGAGCTTAACCTTTCTTTTCATACAGGAGTTTGGAAACACACTGTTTGTAAAGTCTGCAAGTGGATATATGGACCTGTTTGAGGCCTTCGTTGGAAACGGGATTGTATCATATAATGCTAGACGGAAGAATTCTCAGTAAATTCTTTGTGTTGTGTGCATTCAACTCACAGAGTGGAACCGTCCCTTTAGACAGAGCAGATTTGAAACACTCTTTTTGCGGAATTTGCAAGTGGAGATTTCTAGCCATTTGATGCCAACAGTTGAAAGGGAAATATCTTCAAATAAAAACCAGACAGAATCATTCTCAGAAAATTCTTTGTGATGTGTGCGTTCAACTCACATAGTTTAACCTTTCTTTTCATAGAGCAGTTTGGAAACACTCTGTTTGTAAAGTCTGCAAGTGGATATATGGACCGCATTGAGGCCTTCGTTGGAAACGGGATTTCTTCATTTCATGCTAGACAGAAGAATTCTCAGTAACTTCTTTGTGCTGTGTGTATTCAACTCACAGAGTGGAACGTCCCTTTGCACAGAGCAGATTTGAAACACTCTTTTTGTGGAATTTGCAAGTGGAGATTTCAAGCGATTTGATGCCAACAGTAGAAAAGGAAATATCTTCAAATAAAAACTAGACAGAATCATTCTCAGAAACTACTTTGTGATGTGTGCCTTCAACTCACAGAGTTTAACCTTTCTTTTCTTAGAGCAGTTTAGAAACACTCTGCTTGTTATGTCTGCAAGTGGATATTTGGACCTCTTTGAGGCCTTCGTTGCAAACGGGGTTTCTTCCTTTAATGCTAGACTAAGAAGAGTTCTCAGTAACTTTTTTGTGTTGTGTGTATTCAACTCACAGAGTTGAACCTTGCTTTAGAGAGAGCAGATTTGAAACACTCTTGCTGTGGCATTTTCAGGTGGAGATTTCAAGCGATTTGAGGACAATTGCAGAAAAGGAAATATCTTCGTATAATAACCAGACAGAATCATTCTCAGAAAGTGCTTTGTGATGTGTGCGTTCAACTCACAGAGTTTAACCTTTCTTTTCATAGAGGAGTTTGGAAACACACTGTTTGTAAAGTCTGCAATTGGATATATGGACCTGTTTGAGGCCTTCGTTGGAAACGGGATTTCTTCATTGCATGCTAGACGGAAGAATTCTCAGTAAATTCTTTGTGTTGTGTGCATTCAACTCACAGAGTGGAACGTCCCTTTAGACAGAGCAGATTTGAAACACTCTTTTTGCGGAATTTGCAAGTGGAGATTTCTAGCCATTTGATGCCAACAGTAGAAAGGGAAATATCTTCAAATAAAAACCAGACAGAATCATTCTCAGAAAAATTCTTTGTGATGTGTGCGTTCAACTCACATAGTTTAACCTTTCTTTTCATAGAGCAGTTTGGAAACACTCTGTTTGTAAAGTCTGCAAGTGGATATATGGACCGCATTGAGGCCTTCGTTGGAAACGGGATTTCTTCATTTCATGCGAGACAGAAGAATTCTCAGTAACTTCTTTGTGCTGTGTGTATTCAACTCACAGAGTGGAACGTCCCTTTACACAGAGCAGATTTGAAACACTCTTTTTGTGGAGTTTGCAAGTGGAGATTTCAAGCGATTTGATGCCAGCAGTAGAAAAGGAAATATCTTCAAATAAAAACTAGACAGAATCATTCTCAGAAACTACTTTGTGATGTGTGCCTTCAACTCACAGAGTTTAACCTTTCTTTTCTTAGAGCAGTTTAGAAACACTCTGCTTGTTATGTCTGCAAGTGGATATTTGGACCTCTTTGAGGCCTTCGTTGCAAACGGGGTTTCTTCCTTTCATGCTAGACTAAGAAGAGTTCTCAGTAACTTTTTTGTGTTGTGTGTATTCAACTCACAGAGTTGAACCTTGCTTTAGAGAGAGCAGATTTGAAACACTCTTGCTGTGGCATTTTCAGGTGGAGATTTCAAGCGATTTGAGGACAATTGCAGAAAAGGAAATATCTTCGTATAATAACCAGACAGAATCATTCTCAGAGAGTGCTTTGTGATGTGTGCGTTCAACTCACAGAGTTTAACCTTTCTTTTCATAGAGGAGTTTGGAAACACACTGTTTGTAAAGTCTGCAAGTGGATATATGGACCTGTTTGAGGCCTTCGTTGGAAACGGGATTTCTTCATTGACTGCTAGACGGAAGAATTCTCAGTAAATTCTTTGTGTTGTGTGCATTCAACTGACAGAGTGGAACGTCCCTTTAGACAGAGCAGATTTGAAACACTCTTTTTGCGGAATTTGCAAGTGGAGATTTCTAGCCATTTGATGCCAACAGTAGAAAGGGAAATATCTTCAAATAAAAACCAGACAGAATCATTCTCAGAAAATTCTTTGTGATGTGTGCGTTCAACTCACATAGTTTAACCTTTCTTTTCATAGAGCAGTTTGGAAACACTCTGTTTGTAAAGTCTGCAAGTGGATATATGGACCGCATTGAGGCCTTCGTTGGAAACGGGATTTCTTCATTTCATGCTAGACAGAAGAATTCTCAGTAACTTCTTTGTGCTGTGTGTACTCAACTCACAGAGTGGAACGTCCCTTTGCACAGAGCAGATTTGAAACACTCTTTTTGTGGAGTTTGCAAGTGGAGATTTCAAGCGATTTGATGCCAACAGTAGAAAAGGAAATATCTTCAAATAAAAACTAGACAGAATCATTCTCAGAAACTACTTTGTGATGTGTGCCTTCAACTCACAGAGTTTAACCTTTCTTTTCTTAGAGCAGGTTAGAAACACTCTGCTTGTTATGTCTGCAAGTGGATATTTGGACCTCTTTGAGGCCTTCGTTGCAAACGGGGTTTCTTCCTTTCATGCTAGACTAAGAAGAGTTCTCAGTAACTTTTTTGTGTTGTGTGTATTCAACTCACAGAGTTGAACCTTGCTTTAGAGAGAGCAGATTTGAAACACTCTTGCTGTGGCATTTTCAGGTGGAGATTTCAAGCGATTTGAGGACAATTGCAGAAAAGGAAATATCTTCGTATAATAACCAGACAGAATCATTCTCAGAAAGTGCTTTGTGATGTGTGCGTTCCACTCACAGAGTTTAACCTTTCTTTTCATAGAGGAGTTTGGAAACACACTGTTTGTAAACTCTGCAAGTGGATATATGGACCTGTTTGAGGCCTTCGTTGGAAACGGGATTTCTTCATTGAATGCTAGACGGAAGAATTCTCAGTAAATTCTTTGTGTTGTGTGCATTCAACTCACAGAGTGGAACGTCCCTTTAGACAGAGCAGATTTGAAACACTCTTTTTGCGGAATTTGCAAGTGGAGATTTCTAGCCATTTGATGCCAACAGTAGAAAGGGAAATATCTTCCAATAAAAACCAGACAGAATCATTCTCAGAAAATTCTTTGTGATGTGTGCGTTCAACTCACATAGTTTAACCTTTCTTTTCATAGAGCAGTTTGGAAACACTCTGTTTGTAAAGTCTGCAAGTGGATATATGGACCGCATTGAGGCCTTCGTTGGAAACGGGATTTCTTCATTTCATGCTAGACAGAAGAATTCTCAGTAACTTCTTTGTGCTGTGTGTATTCAACTCACAGAGTGGAACGTCCCTTTACACAGAGCAGATTTGAAACACTCTTTTTGTGGAGTTTGCAAGTGGAGATTTCAAGCGATTTGATGCCAACAGTAGAAAAGGAAATATCTTCAAATAAAAACTAGACAGAATCATTCTCAGAAACTACTTTGTGATGTGTGCCTTCAACTCACAGAGTTTAACCTTTCTTTTCTTAGAGCAGTTTAGAAACACTCTGCTTGTTATGTCTGCAAGTGGATATTTGGACCTCTTTGAGGCCTTCGTTGCAAACGGGGTTTCTTCCTTTCATGCTAGACTAAGAAGAGTTCTCAGTAACTTTTTTGTGTTGTGTGTATTCAACTCACAGAGTTGAACCTTGCTTTAGAGAGAGCAGATTTGAAACACTCTTGCTGTGGCATTTTCAGGTGGAGATTTCAAGCGATTTGAGGACAATTGCAGAAAAGGAAATATCTTCGTATAATAACCAGACAGAATCATTCTCAGAAAGTGCTTTGTGATGTGTGCGTTCAACTCACAGAGTTTAACCTTTCTTTTCATAGAGGAGTTTGGAAACACACTGTTTGTAAAGTCTGCAATTGGATATATGGACCTGTTTGAGGCCTTCGTTGGAAACGGGATTTCTTCATTGAATGCTAGACGGAAGAATTCTCAGTAAATTCTTTGTGTTGTGTGCATTCAACTCACAGAGTGGAACGTCCCTTTAGACAGAGCAGATTTGAAACACTTTTTGGCGGAATTTGCAAGTGGAGATTTCTAGCCATTTGATGCCAACAGTAGAAAGGGAAATATCTTCAAATAAAAACCAGACAGAATCATTCTCAGAAAATTCTTTGTGATGTGTGTGTTCAACTCACATAGTTTAACCTTTCTTTTCATAGAGCAGTTTGGAAACACTCTGTTTGTAAAGTCTGCAAGTGGATATATGGACCGCATTGAGGCCTTCGTTGGAAACGGGATTTCTTCATTTCATGCTAGACAGAAGAATTCTCAGTAACTTCTTTGTGCTGTGTGTATTCAACTCACAGAGTGGAACGTCCCTTTGCACAGAGCAGATTTGAAACACTCTTTTTGTGGAGTTTGCAATTGGAGATTTCAAGCGATTTGATGCCAACAGTAGAAAAGGAAATATCTTCAAATAAAAACTAGACAGAATCATTCTCAGAAACTACTTTGTGATGTGTGCCTTCAACTCACAGAGTTTAACCTTTCTTTTCTTAGAGCAGTTTAGAAACACTCTGCTTGTTATGTCTGCAAATGGATATTTGGACCTCTTTGAGGCCTTCGTTGCAAACGGGGTTTCTTCCTTTAATGCTAGACTAAGAATTCTAGTTATACATTCTTCCAAATTTTTTTGAAAGTTTGCAACTTCTTTGCCTTTGGTTTGAATGTCCTCCCGGAAATTTCAATAATTTGGAGGACAATTGCCGAAATGGAAATATCTTCGTATAACAACCAGACAGAAT
>NC_000007.14:58272762-58356042 GCF_000001405.40 Homo sapiens
ATCATTCTCAGAAAGTGCTTTGTGATGTGTGCGTTCAACTCACAGAGTTTAACCTTTCTTTTCATAGAGGAGTTTGGAAACACACTGTTTGTAAAGTCTGCAATTGGATATATGGACCTGTTTGAGGCCTTCGTTGGAAACGGGATTTCTTCATTGACTGCTAGACGGAAGAATTCTCAGTAAATTCTTTATGTTGTGTGCATTCAACTCACAGAGTGGAACGTCCCTTTAGACAGAGCAGATTTGAAACACTCTTTTTGCGGAATTTGCAAGTGGAGATTTCTAGCCATTTGATGCCAACAGTAGAAAGGGAAATATCTTCAAATAAAAACCAGACAGAATCATTGTCAGAAAATTCTTTGTGATGTGTGCGTTCAACTCACATAGTTTAACCTTTCTTTTCATAGAGCAGTTTGGAAACACTCTGTTTGTAAAGTCTGCAAGTGGATATATGGACCGCATTGAGGCCTTCGTTGGAAACGGGATTTCTTCATTTCATGCTAGACAGAAGAATTCTCAGTAACTTCTTTTGTGCTGTGTGTATTCAACTCACAGAGTGGAACGTCCCTTTGCACAGAGCAGATTTGAAACACTCTTTTTGTGGAATTTGCAAGTGGAGATTTCAAGCGATTTGATGCCAACAGTAGAAAAGGAAATATCTTCAAATAAAAACTAGACAGAATCATTCTCAGAAACTACTTTGTGATGTGTGCCTTCAACTCACAGAGTTTAACCTTTCTTTTCTTAGAGCAGTTTAGAAACACTCTGCTTGTTATGTCTGCAAGTGGATATTTGGACCTCTTCGAGGCCTTCGGTGCAAACGGGGTTTCTTCCTTTAATGCTAGACTAAGAAGAGTTCTCAGTAACTTTTTTGTGTTGTGTGTATTCAACTCACAGAGTTGAACCTTGCTTTAGAGAGAGCAGATTTGAAACACTCTTGCTGTGGCATTTTCAGGTGGAGATTTCAAGCGATTTGAGGACAATTGCAGAAAAGGAAATATCTTCGTATAATAACCAGACAGAATCATTCTCAGAAAGTGCTTTGTGATGTGTGCGTTCAACTCACAGAGTTTAACCTTTCTTTTCATAGAGGAGTTTGGAAACACACTGTTTGTAAAGTCTGCAATTGGATATATGGACCTGTTTGAGGCCTCCGTTGGAAACGGGATTTCTTCATTGAATGCTAGACGGAAGAATTCTCAGTAAATTCTTTGTGTTGTGTGCATTCAACTCACAGAGTGGAACGTCCCTTTAGACAGAGCAGATTTGAAACACTCTTTTTGCGGAATTTGCAAGTGGAGATTTCTAGCCATTTGATGCCAACAGTAGAAAGGGAAATATCTTCATATAAAAACCAGACAGAATCATTCTCAGAAAATTCTTTGTGATGTGTGCGTTCAACTCACATAGTTTAACCTTTCTTTTCATAGAGCAGTTTGGAAACACTCTGTTTGTAAAGTCTGCAAGTGGATATATGGACTGCATTGAGGCCTTCGTTGGAAACGGGATTTCTTCATTTCATGCTAGACAGAAGAATTCTCAGTAACTTCTTTGTGCTGTGTGTATTCAACTCACAGAGTGGAACGTCCCTTTGCACAGAGCGGATTTGAAACACTCTTTTTGTGGAGTTTGCAAGTGGAGATTTCAAGCGATTTGATGCCAACAGTAGAAAAGGAAATATCTTCAAATAAAAACTAGACAGAATCATTCTCAAAAACTACTTTGTGATGTGTGCCTTCAACTCACAGAGTTTAACCTTTCTTTTCTTAGAGCAGTTTAGAAACACTCTGCTTGTTATGTCTGCAAGTGGATATTTGGACCTCTTTGAGGCCTTCGTTGCAAACGGGGTTTCTTCCTTTCATGCTAGACTAAGAAGAGTTCTCAGTAACTTTTTGTGTTGTGTGTATTCAACTCACAGAGTTGAACCTTGCTTTAGAGAGAGCAGATTTGAAACACTCTTGCTGTGGCATTTTCAGGTGGAGATTTCAAGCGATTTGAGGACAATTGCAGAATAGGAAATATCTTCGTATAATAACCAGACAGAATCATTCTCAGAAAGTGCTTTGTGATGTGTGCGTTCAACTCACAGAGTTTAACCTTTCTTTTCATAGAGGAGTTTGGAAACACACTGTTTGTAAAGTCTGCAATTGGATATATGGACCTGTTTGAGGCCTTCGTTGGAAACGGGATTTCTTCATTGAATGCTAGACGGAAGAATTCTCAGTAAATTCTTTGTGTTGTGTGCATTCAACTCACAGAGTGGAACGTCCCTTTAGACAGAGCAGATTTGAAACACTCTTTTTGCGGAATTTGCAAGTGGAGATTTCTAGCCATTTGATGCCAACAGTAGAAAGGGAAATATCTTCAAATAAAAACCAGACAGAATCATTCTCAGAAAATTCTTTGTGATGTGTGCGTTCAACTCACATAGTTTAACCTTTCTTTTCATAGAGCAGTTTGGAAACACTCTGTTTGTAAAGTCTGCAAGTGGATCTATGGACCGCATTGAGGCCTTCGTTGGAAACGGGATTTCTTCATTTCATGCTAGACAGAAGAATTCTCAGTAACTTCTTTGTGCTGTGTGTATTCAACTCACAGAGTGGAACGTCCCTTTACACAGAAGCAGATTTGAAACACTCTTTTTGTGGAGTTTGCAAGTGGATATTTCAAGCGATTTGATGCCAACAGTAGAAAATGAAATATCTTCAAATAAAAACTAGACAGAATCATTCTCAGAAACTACTTTGTGATGTGTGCCTTCAACTCACAGAGTTTAACCTTTCTTTTCTTAGAGCAGTTTAGAAACACTCTGCTTGTTATGTCTGCAAGTGGATATTTGGACCTCTTTGAGGCCTTCGTTGCAAAAGGGGTTTCTTCCTTTAATGCTAGACTAAGAAGAGTTCTCAGTAAGTTTTTTGTGTTGTGTGTATTCAACTCACAGAGTTGAACCTTGCTTTAGAGAGAGCAGATTTGAAACACTCTCGCTGTGGAATTTTCAGGTGGAGATTTCAAGCGATTTGAGGACAATTGCAGAAAAGGAAATATCTTCGTATAATAACCAGACAGAATCATTCTCAGAAAGTGCTTTGTGATGTGTGCGCTCAACTCACAGAGTTTAACCTTTCTTTTCATAGAGGAGTTTGGAAACACACTGTTTGTAAAGTCTGCAAGTGGATATATGGACCTGTTTGAGGCCTTCGTTGGAAACGGGATTTCTTCATTGAATGCTAGACGGAAGAATTCTCAGTAAATTCTTTGTGTTGTGTGCATTCAACTCACAGAGTGGAACGTCCCTTTAGACAGAGCAGATTTGAAACACTCTTTTTGCGGAATTTGCAAGTGGAGATTTCTAGCCATTTGATGCCAACAGTAGAAAGGGAAATATCTTCAAATAAAAACCAGACAGAATCATTCTCAGAAAATTCTTTGTGATGTGTGCGTTCAACTCACATAGTTTAACCTTTCTTTTCATAGAGCAGTTTGGAAACACTCTGTTTGTAAAGTCTGCAAGTGGATCTATGGACCGCATTGAGGCCTTCGTTGGAAACGGGATTTCTTCATTTCATGCTAGACAGAAGAATTCTCAGTAACTTCTTTGTGCTGTGTGTATTCAACTCACAGAGTGGAACGTCCCTTTGCACAGAGCAGATTTGAAACACTCTTTTTGTGGAATTTGCAAGTGGAGATTTCAAGCGATTTGATGCCAACAGTAGAAAAGGAAATATCTTCAAATAAAAACTAGACAGAATCATTCTCAGAAACTACTTTGTGATGTGTGCCTTCAACTCACAGAGTTTAACCTTTCTTTTCTTAGAGCAGTTTAGAAACACTCTGCTTGTTATGTCTGCAAGTGGATATTTGGACCTCTTTGAGGCCTTCGTTGCAAACGGGGTTTCTTCCTTTAATGCTAGACTAAGAAGAGTTCTCAGTAACTTTTTTGTGTTGTGTGTATTCAACTCACAGAGTTGAACCTTGCTTTAGAGAGAGCAGATTTGAAACACTCTTGCTGTGGCATTTTCAGGTGGAGATTTCAAGCGATTTGAGGACAATTGCAGAAAAGGAAATATCTTCGTATAATAACCAGACAGAATCATTCTCAGAAAGTGCTTTGTGATGTGTGCGTTCAACTCACAGAGTTTAACCTTTCTTTTCATAGAGGAGTTTGGAAACACACTGTAAAGTCTGCAATTGGATATATGGACCTGTTTGAGGCCTTCGTTGGAAACGGGATTTCTTCATTGAATGCTAGACGGAAGAATTCTCAGTAAATTCTTTGTGTTGTGTGCATTCAACTCACAGAGTGGAACGTCCCTTTAGACAGAGCAGATTTGAAACACTCTTTTTGCGGAATTTGCAAGTGGAGATTTCTAGCCATTTGATGCCAACAGTAGAAAGGGAAATATCTTCAAATAAAAACCAGACAGAATCATTCTCAGAAAATTCTTTGTGATGTGTGCGTTCAACTCACATAGTTTAACCTTTCTTTTCATAGAGCGGTTTGGAAACACTCTGTTTGTAAAGTCTGCAAGTGGATATATGGACCGCATTGAGGCCTTCGTTGGAAACGGGATTTCTTCATTTCATGCTAGACAGAAGAATTCTCAGTAACTTCTTTGTGCTGTGTGTATTCAACTCACAGAGTGGAACGTCCCTTTACACAGAGCAGATTTGAAACACTCTTTTTGTGGAGTTTGCAAGTGGAGATTTCAAGCGATTTGATGCCAACAGTAGAAAAGGAAATTCTCAAATAAAAACTAGACAGAATCATTCTCAGAAACTACTTTGTGATGTGTGCCTTCAACTCACAGAGTTCAACCTTTCTTTTCTTAGAGCAGTTTAGAAACACTCTGCTTGTTATGTCTGCAAGTGGATATTTGGACCTCTTTGAGTCCTTCGTTGCAAACGGGGTTTCTTCCTTTCATGCTAGACTAAGAAGAGTTCTCAGTAACTTTTTTGTGTTGTGTGTATTCAACTCACAGAGTTGAACCTTGCTTTAGAGAGAGCAGATTTGAAACACTCTTGCTGTGGCATTTTCAGGTGGAGATTTCAAGCGATTTGAGGACAATTGCAGAAAAGGAAATATCTTCGTATAATAACCAGACAGAATCATTCTCAGAAAGTGCTTTGTGATGTGTGCGTTCAACTCACAGAGTTTAACCTTTCTTTTCATAGAGGAGTTTGGAAACACACTGTTTGTAAAGTCTGCAAGTGGATATATGGACCTGTTTGAGGCCTTCGTTGGAAACGGGATTTCTTCATTGAATGCTAGACGGAAGAATTCTCAGTAAATTCTTTGTGTTGTGTGCATTCAACTCACAGAGTGGAACGTCCCTTTAGACAGAGCAGATTTGAAACACTCTTTTTGCGGAATTTGCAAGTGGAGATTTCTAGCCATTTGATGCCAACAGTAGAAAGGGAAATATCTTCAAATAAAAACCAGACAGAATCATTCTCAGAAAATTCTTTGTGATGTGTGCGTTCAACTCACATAGTTTAACCTTTCTTTTCATAGAGCAGTTTGGAAACACTCTGTTTGTAAAGTCTGCAAGTGGATATATGGACCGCATTGAGGCCTTCGTTGGAAACGGGATTTCTTCATTTCATGCTAGATAGAAGAATTCTCAGTAACTTCTTTGTGCTGTGTGTATTCAACTCACAGAGTGGAACGTCCCTTTACACAGAGCAGATTTGAAACACTCTTTTTGTGGAGTTTGCAAGTGGAGATTTCAAGCGATTTGATGCCAACAGTAGAAAAGGAAATATCTTCAAATAAAAACTAGACAGAATCATTCTCAGAAACTACTTTGTGATGTGTGCCTTCAACTCACAGAGTTTAACCTTTCTTTTCTTAGAGCAGTTTAGAAACACTCTGCTTGTTATGTCTGCAAGTGGATATTTGGACCTCTTTGAGGCCTTCGTTGCAAACGGGGTTTCTTCCTTTAATGCTAGACTAAGAAGAGTTCTCAGTAACTTTTTTGTGTTGTGTGTATTCAACTCACAGAGTTGAACCTTGCTTTAGAGAGAGCAGATTTGAAACACTCTTGCTGTGGCATTTTCAGGTGGAGATTTCAAGCGATTTGAGGACAATTGCAGAAAAGGAAATATCTTCGTATAATAACCAGACAGAATCATTCTCAGAAAGTGCTTTGTGATGTGTGCGTTCAACTCACAGAGTTTAACCTTTCTTTTCATAGAGGAGTTTGGAAACACACTGTTTGTAAAGTCTGCAATTGGATATATGGACCTGTTTGAGGCCTTCGTTGGAAACGGGATTTCTTCATTGAATGCTAGACGGAAGAATTCTCAGTAAATTCTTTGTGTTGTGTGCATTCAACTCACAGAGTGGAACGTCCCTTTAGACAGAGCAGATTTGAAACACTCTTTTTGCGGAATTTGCAAGTGGAGATTTCTAGCCATTTGATGCCAACAGTAGAAAGGGAAATATCTTCAAATAAAAACCAGACAGAATCATTCTCAGAAAATTCTTTGTGATGTGTGCATTCAACTCACATAGTTTAACCTTTCTTTTCATAGAGCAGTTTGGAAACACTCTGTTTGTAAAGTCTGCAAGTGGATATATGGACCGCATTGAGGCCTTCGTTGGAAACGGGATTTCTTCATTTCATGCTAGACAGAAGAATTCTCAGTAACTTCTTTGTGCTGTGTGTATTCAACTCACAGAGTGGAACGTCCCTTTGCACAGAGCAGATTTGAAACACTCTTTTTGTGGAATTTGCAAGTGGAGATTTCAAGCGATTTGATGCCAACAGTAGAAAAGGAAATATCTTCAAATAAAAACTAGACAGAATCATTCTCAGAAACTACTTTGTGATGTGTGCCTTCAACTCACAGAGTTTAACCTTTCTTTTCTTAGAGCAGTTTAGAAACACTCTGCTTGTTATGTCTGCAAGTGGATATTTGGACCTCTTTGAGGCCTTCGTTGCAAACGGGGTTTCTTCCTTTCATGCTAGACTAAGAAGAGTTCTCAGTAACTTTTTTGTGTTGTGTGTATTCAACTCACAGAGTTGAACCTTGCTTTAGAGAGAGCAGATTTGAAACACTCTTGCTGTGGCATTTTCAGGTGGAGATTTCAAGCGATTTGAGGACAATTGCAGAAAAGGAAATATCTTCGTATAATAACCAGACAAAATCATTCTCAGAAAGTACTTTGTGATGTGTGCGTTCCACTCACAGAGTTTAACCTTTCTTTTCATAGAGGAGTTTGGAAACACACTGTTTGTAAAGTCTGCAAGTGGATATATGGACCTCTTTGAGGCCTTCGTTGGAAACGGGATTTCTTCATTGAATGCTAGACGGAAGAATTCTCAGTAAATTCTTTGTGTTGTGTGCATTCAACTCACAGAGTGGAACGTCCCTTTAGACAGAGCAGATTTGAAACACTCTTTTTGCGGAATTTGCAAGTGGAGATTTCTAGCCATTTGATGCCAACAGTAGAAAGGGAAATATCTTCAAATAAAAACCAGACAGAATCATTCTCAGAAAATTCTTTGTGATGTGTGCGTTCAACTCACATAGTTTAACCTTTCTTTTCATAGAGCAGTTTGGAAACACTCTGTTTGTAAAGTCTGCAAGTGGATATATGGACCGCATTGAGGCCTTCGTTGGAAACGGGATTTCTTCATTTCATGCTAGACAGAAGAATTCTCAGTAACTTCTTTGTGCTGTGTGTATTCAACTCACAGAGTGGAACGTCCCTTTGCACAGAGCAGATTTGAAACACTCTTTTTGTGGAGTTTGCAAGTGGAGATTTCAAGCGATTTGATGCCAACAGTAGAAAAGGAAATATCTTCAAATAAAAACTAGACAGAATCATTCTCAGAAACTACTTTGTGATGTGTGCCTTCAACTCACAGAGTTTAACCTTTCTTTTCTTAGAGCAGTTTAGAAACACTCTGCTTGTTATGTCTGCAAGTGGATATTTGGACCTCTTTGAGGCCTTCGTTGCAAACGGGGTTTCTTCCTTTCATGCTAGACTAAGAAGAGTTCTCAGTAACTTTTTTGTGTTGTGTGTATTCAACTCACAGAGTTGAACCTTGCTTTAGAGAGAGCAGATTTGAAACACTCTTGCTGTGGCATTTTCAGGTGGAGATTTCAAGCGATTTGAGGACAATTGCAGAAAAGGAAATATCTTCGTATAATAACCAGACAGAATCATTCTCAGAAAGTGCTTTGTGATGTGTGCGTTCAACTCACAGAGTTCAACCTTTCTTTTCATAGAGGAGTTTGGAAACACACTGTTTGTAAAGTCTGCAAGTGGATATATGGACCTGTTTGAGGCCTTCGTTGGAAACGGGATTTCTTCATTGAATGGTAGACGGAAGAATTCTCAGTAAATTCTTTGTGTTGTGTGCATTCAACTCACAGAGTGGAACGTCCCTTTAGACAGAGCAGATTTGAAACACTCTTTTTGCGGAATTTGCAAGTGGAGATTTCTAGCCATTTGATGCCAACAGTAGAAAGGGAAATATCTTCAAATAAAAACCAGACAGAATCATTCTCAGAAAATTCTTTGTGATGTGTGCGTTCAACTCACATAGTTTAACCTTTCTTTTCATAGAGCAGTTTGGAAACACTCTGTTTGTAAAGTCTGCAAGTGGATATATGGACCGCATTGAGGCCTTCGTTGGAAACGGGATTTCTTCATTTCATGCTAGACAGAAGAATTCTCAGTAACTTCTTTGTGCTGTGTGTATTCAACTCACAGAGTGGAACGTCCCTTTACACAGAGCAGATTTGAAACACTCTTTTTGTGGAGTTTGCAAGTGGAGATTTCAAGCGATTTGATGCCAACAGTAGAAAAGGAAATATCTTCAAATAAAAACTAGACAGAATCATTCTCAGAAACTACTTTGTGATGTGTGCCTTCAACTCACAGAGTTTAACCTTTCTTTTCTTAGAGCAGTTTAGAAACACTCTGCTTGTTATGTCTGCAAGTGGATATTTGGACCTCTTTGAGGCCTTCGTTGCAAACGGGGTTTCTTCCTTTCATGCTAGACTAAGAAAGAGTTCTCAGTAACTTTTTTGTGTTGTGTGTATTCAACTCACAGAGTTGAACCTTGCTTTAGAGAGAGCAGATTTGAAACACTCTTGCTGTGGCATTTTCAGGTGGAGATTTCAAGCGATTTGAGGACAATTGCAGAAAAGGAAATATCTTCGTATAATAACCAGACAGAATCATTCTCAGAAAGTGCTTTGTGATGTGTGCGTTGCACTCACAGAGTTTAACCTTTCTTTTCATAGAGGAGTTTGGAAACACACTGTTTGTAAAGTCTGCAAGTGGATATATGGACCTGTTTGAGGCCTTCGTTGGAAACGGGATTTCTTCATTGAATGCTAGACGGAAGAATTCTCAGTAAATTCTTTGTGTTGTGTGCATTCAACTGACAGAGTGGAACGTCCCTTTAGACAGAGCAGATTTGAAACACTCTTTTTGCGGAATTTGCAAGTGGAGATTTCTAGCCATTTGATGCCAACAGTAGAAAGGGAAATATCTTCAAATAAAAACCAGACAGAATCATTCTCAGAAAATTCTTTGTGATGTGTGCGTTCAACTCACATAGTTTAACCTTTCTTTTCATAGAGCAGTTTGGAAACACTCTGTTTGTAAAGTCTGCAAGTGGATATATGGACCGCATTGAGGCCTTCGTTGGAAACGGGATTTCTTCATTTCATGCTAGACAGAAGAATTCTCAGTAACTTCTTTGTGCTGTGTGTATTCAACTCACAGAGTGGAACGTCCCTTTACACAGAGCAGATTTGAAACACTCTTTTTGTGGAGTTTGCAAGTGGAGATTTCAAGCGATTTGATGCCAACAGTAGAAAAGGAAATATCTTCAAATAAAAACTAGACAGAATCATTCTCAGAAACTACTTTGTGATGTGTGCCTTCAACTCACAGAGTTTAACCTTTCTTTTCTTAGAGCAGTTTAGAAACACTCTGCTTGTTATGTCTGCAAGTGGATATTTGGACCTCTTTGAGGCCTTCGTTGCAAACGGGGTTTCTTCCTTTCATGCTAGACTAAGAAGAGTTCTCAGTAACTTTTTTGTGTTGTGTGTATTCAACTCACAGAGTTGAACCTTGCTTTAGAGAGAGCAGATTTGAAACACTCTTGCTGTGGCATTTTCAGGTGGAGATTTCAAGCGATTTGAGGACAATTGCAGAAAAGGAAATATCTTCGTATAATAACCAGACAGAATCATTCTCAGAAAGTGCTTTGTGATGTGTGCGTTCAACTCACAGAGTTTAACCTTTCTTTTCATAGAGGAGTTTGGAAACACACTGTTTGTAAAGTCTGCAATTGGATATATGGACCTGTTTGAGGCCTTCGTTGGAAACGGGATTTCTTCATTGAATGCTAGACGGAAGAATTCTCAGTAAATTCTTTGTGTTGTGTGCATTCAACTCACAGAGTGGAACGTCCCTTTAGACAGAGCAGATTTGAAACACTCTTTTTGCGGAATTTGCAAGTGGAGATTTCTTGCCATTTGATGCCAACAGTAGAAAGGGAAATATCTTCAAATAAAAACCAGACAGAATCATTCTCAGAAAATTCTTTGTGATGTGTGCGTTCAACTCACATAGTTTAACCTTTCTTTTCATAGAGCAGTTTGGAAACACTCTGTTTGTAAAGTCTGCAAGTGGATATATGGACCGCATTGAGGCCTTCGTTGGAAACGGGATTTCTTCATTTCATGCTAGACAGAAGAATTCTCAGTAACTTCTTTGTGCTGTGTGTATTCAACTCACAGAGTGGAACGTCCCTTTACACAGAGCAGATTTGAAACACTCTTTTTGTGGAGTTTGCAAGTGGAGATTTCAAGCGATTTGATGCCAACAGTAGAAAAGGAAATATCTTCAAATAAAAACTAGACAGAATCATTCTCAGAAACTACTTTGTGATGTGTGCCTTCAACTCACAGAGTTTAACCTTTCTTTTCTTAGAGCAGTTTAGAAACACTCTGCTTGTTATGTCTGCAAGTGGATATTTGGACCTCTTTGAGGCCTTCGTTGCAAACGGGGTTTCTTCCTTTCATGCTAGACTAAGAAGAGTTCTCAGTAACTTTTTTGTGTTGTGTGTATTCAACTCACAGAGCTGAACCTTGCTTTAGAGAGAGCAGATTTGAAACACTCTTGCTGTGGCATTTTCAGGTGGAGATTTCAAGCGATTTGAGGACAATTGCAGAAAAGGAAATATCTTCGTATAACAACCAGACAGAATCATTCTCAGAAAGTGCTTTGTGATGTGTGCGTTCCACTCACAGAGTTTAACCTTTCTTTTCATAGAGGAGTTTGGAAACACCCTGTTTGTAAACTCTGCAAGAGGATATATGGACCTGTTTGAGGCCTTCGTTGGAAACGGGATTTCTTCATTGAATGCTAGACGGAAGAATTCTCAGTAAATTCTTTGTGTTGTGTGCATTCAACTCACAGAGTGGAACGTCCCTTTAGACAGAGCAGATTTGAAACACTCTTTTTGCGGAATTTGCAAGTGGAGATTTCTAGCCATTTGATGCCAACAGTAGAAAGGGAAATATCTTCAAATAAAAACCAGACAGAATCATTCTCAGAAAATTCTTTGTGATGTGTGCGTTCAACTCACATAGTTTAACCTTTCTTTTCATAGAGCAGTTTGGAAACACTCTGTTTGTAAAGTCTGCAAGTGGATATATGGACCGCATTGAGGCCTTCGTTGGAAACGGGATTTCTTCATTTCATGCTAGACAGAAGAATTCTCAGTAACTTCTTTGTGCTGTGTGTATTCAACTCACAGCAGTGGAACGTCCCTTTGCACAGAGCAGATTTTAAACACTCTTTTTGTGGAGTTTGCAAGTGGAGATTTCAAGCGATTTGATGCCAACAGTAGAAAAGGAAATATCTTCAAATAAAAACTAGACAGAATCATTCTCAGAAACTACTTTGTGATGTGTGCCTTCAACTCACAGAGTTTAACCTTTCTTTTCTTAGAGCAGTTTAGAAACACTCTGCTTGTTATGTCTGCAAGTGGATATTTGGACCTCTTTGAGGCCTTCGTTGCAAACGGGGTTTCTTCCTTTCATGCTAGACTAAGAAGAGTTCTCAGTAACTTTTTTGTGTTGTGTGTATTCAACTCACAGAGTTGAACCTTGCTTTAGAGAGAGCAGATTTGAAACACTCTTGCTGTGGCATTTTCAGGTGGAGATTTCAAGCGATTTGAGGACAATTGCAGAAAAGGAAATATCTTCGTATAATAACCAGACAGAATCATTCTCAGGAAGTGCTTTGTGATGTGTGCGTTCAACTCACAGAGTTTAACCTTTCTTTTCATAGAGGAGTTTGGAAACACACTGTTTGTAAAGTCTGCAAGTGGATATATGGACCTGTTTGAGGCCTTCGTTGGAAACGGGATTTCTTCATTGAATGCTAGACGGAAGAATTCTCAGTAAATTCTTTGTGTTGTGTGCATTCAACTCACAGAGTGGAACGTCCCTTTAGACAGAGCAGATTTGAAACACTCTTTTTGCGGAATTTGCAAGTGGAGATTTCTAGCCATTTGATGCCAACAGTAGAAAGGGAAATATCTTCAAATAAAAACCAGACAGAATCATTCTCAGAAAATTCTTTGTGATGTGTGCGTTCAACTCACATAGTTTTACCTTTCTTTTCATAGAGCATTTTGGAAACACTCTGTTTGTAAAGTCTGCAAGTGGATATATGGACCGCATTGAGGCCTTCGTTGGAAACGGGATTTCTTCATTTCATGCTAGACAGAAGAATTCTCAGTAACTTCTTTGTGCTGTGTGTATTCAACTCACAGAGTGGAACGTCCCTTTACACAGAGCAGATTTGAAACACTCTTTTTGTGGAGTTTGCAAGTGGAGATTTCAAGCGATTTGATGCCAACAGTAGAAAAGGAAATATCTTCAAATAAAAACTAGACAGAATCATTCTCAGAAACTACTTTGTGATGTGTGCCTTCAACTCACAGAGTTTAACCTTTCTTTTCTTAGAGCAGTTTAGAAACACTCTGCTTGTTATGTCTGCAAGTGGATATTTGGACCTCTTTGAGGCCTTCGTTGCAAACGGGGTTTCTTCCTTTCATGCTAGACTAAGAAGAGTTCTCAGTAACTTTTTTGTGTTGTGTGTATTCAACTCACAGAGTTGAACCTTGCTTTAGAGAGAGCAGATTTGAAACACTCTTGCTGTGGCATTTTCAGGTGGAGATTTCAAGCGATTTGAGGACAATTGCAGAAAAGGAAATATCTTCGTATAACAACCAGACAGAATCATTCTCAGAAAGTGCTTTGTGATGTGTGCGTTCAACTCACAGAGTTTAACCTTTCTTTTCATAGAGGAGTTTGGAAACACACTGTTTGTAAAGTCTGCAATTGGATATATGGACCTGTTTGAGGCCTTCGTTGGAAACGGGATTTCTTCATGAATGCTAGACGGAAGAATTCTCAGTAAATTCTTTGTGTTGTGTGCATTCAACTCACAGAGTGGAACGTCCCTTTAGACAGAGCAGATTTGAAACACTCTTTTTGCGGAATTTGCAAGTGGAGATTTCTAGCCATTTGATGTCAACAGTAGAAAGGGAAATATCTTCAAATAAAAACCAGACAGAATCATTCTCAGAAAATTCGTTGTGATGTGTGTGTTCAACTCACATAGTTTAACCTTTCTTTTCATAGAGCAGTTTGGAAACACTCTGTTTGTAAAGTCTGCAAGTGGATATATGGACCGCATTGAGGCCTTCGTTGGAAACGGGATTTCTTCATTTCATGGTAGACAGAAGAATTCTCAGTAACTTCTTTGTGCTGTGTGTATTCAACTCACAGAGTGGAACGTCCCTTTGCACAGAGCAGATTTGAAACACTCTTTTTGTGGAGTTTGCAAGTGGAGATTTCAAGCGATTTGATGCCAACAGTAGAAAAGGAAATATCTTCAAATAAAAACTAGACAGAATCATTCTCAGAAACTACTTTGTGATGTGTGCCTTCAACTCACAGAGTTTAACCTTTCTTTTCTTAGAGCAGTTTAGAAACACTCTCCTTGTTATGTCTGCAAGTGGATATTTGGACCTCTTTGAGGCCTTCGTTGCAAACGGGGTTTCTTCCTTTCACGCTAGACTAAGAAGAGTTCTCAGTAACTTTTTTGTGTTGTGTGTATTCAACTCACAGAGTTGAACCTTGCTTTAGAGAGAGCAGATTTGAAACACTCTTGCTGTGGCATTTTCAGGTGGAGATTTCAAGCGATTTGAGGACAATTGCAGAAAAGGAAATATCTTCGTATAATAACCAGACAGAATCATTCACAGAAAGTGCTTTGTGATGTGTGCGTTCAACTCACAGAGTTTAACCTTTCTTTTCATAGAGGAGTTTGGAAACACACTGTTTGTAACGTCTGCAAGTGGATATATGGACCTGTTTGAGGCCTTCGTTGGAAACGGGATTTCTTCATTGAATGCTAGACGGAAGAATTCTCAGTAAATTCTTTGTGTTGTGTGCATTCAACTCACACAGTGGAACGTCCCTTTAGACAGAGCAGATTTGAAACACTCTTTTTGCGGAAGTTGCAAGTGGAGATTTCTAGCCATTTGATGCCAACAGTAGAAAGGGAAATATCTTCAAATAAAAACTAGACAGAATCATTCTCAGAAAGTGCTTTGTGATGTGTGCGTTCAACTCACAGAGTTTAACCTTTCTTTTCATAGAGGAGTTTGGAAACACACTGTTTGTAAAGTCTGCAATTGGGTATATGGACCTGTTTGAGGCCTTCGTTGGAAACGGGATTTCTTCATTGAATGCTAGACGGAAGAATTCTCAGTAAATTCTTTGTGTTGTGTGCATTCAACTCACAGAGTGGAACGTCCCTTTAGACAGAGCAGATTTGAAACACTCTTTTTGCGGAATTTGCAAGTGGAGATTTCTAGCCATTTGATGCCAACAGTAGAAAGGGAAATATCTTCAAATAAAAACCAGACAGAATCATTCTCAGAAAATTCTTTGTGATGTGTGCGTTCAACTCACATAGTTTAACCTTTCTTTTCATAGAGCAGTTTGGAAACACTCTGTTTGTGAAGTCTGCAAGTGGATATATAGACCGCATTGAGGCCTTCGTTGGAAACGGGATTTCTTCATTTCATGCTAGACAGAAGAATTCTCAGTAACTTCTTTGTGCTGTGTGTATTCAACTCACAGAGTGGAACGTCCCTTTGCACAGAGCAGATTTGAAACACTCTTTTTGTGGAGTTTGCAAGTGGATATTTCAAGCGATTTGATGCCAACAGTAGAAAAGGAAATATCTTCAAATAAAAACTAGACAGAATCATTCTCAGAAACTACTTTGTGATGTGTGCCTTCAACTCACAGAGTTTAACCTTTCTTTTCTTAGAGCAGTTTAGAAACACTCTGCTTGTTATGTCTGCAAGTGGATATTTGGACCTCTTTGAGGCCTTCGTTGCAAACGGGGTTTCTTCCTTTCATGCTAGACTAAGAAGAGTTCTCAGTAACTTTTTTGTGTTGTGTGTATTCAACTCACAGAGTTGAACCTTGCTTTAGAGAGAGCAGATTTGAAACACTCTTGCTGTGGCATTTTCAGGTGGAGATTTCAAGCGATTTGAGGACAATTGCAGAAAAGGAAATATCTTCGTATAATAACCAGAGAGAATCATTCTCAGAAAGTGCTTTGTGATGTGTGCGTTCCACTCACAGAGTTTAACCTTTCTTTTCATAGAGGAGTTTGGAAACAAACTGTTTGTAAACTCTGCAAGTGGATATATGGACCTGTTTGAGGCCTTCGTTGGAAACGGGATTTCTTCATTGAATGCTAGACGGAAGAATTCTCAGTAAATTCTTTGTGTTGTGTGCATTCAACTCACAGAGTGGAACGTCCCTTTAGACAGAGCAGATTTGAAACACTCTTTTTGCGGAATTTGCAAGTGGAGATTTCTAGCCATTTGATGCCAACAGTAGAAAGGGAAATATCTTCAAATAAAAACCAGACAGAATCATTCTCAGAAAATTCTTTGTGATGTGTGCGTTCAACTCACATAGTTTAACCTTTCTTTTCATAGAGCAGTTTGGAAACACTCTGTTTGTAAAGTCTGCAAGTGGATCTATGGACCGCATTGAGGCCTTCGTTGGAAACGGGATTTCTTCATTTCATGCTAGACAGAAGAATTCTCAGTAACTTCTTTGTGCTGTGTGTATTCAACTCACAGAGTGGAACGTCCCTTTGCACAGAGCAGATTTGAAACACTCTTTTTGTGGAATTTGCAAGTGGAGATTTCAAGCGATTTGATGCCAACAGTAGAAAAGGAAATATCTTCAAATAAAAACTAGACAGAATCATTCTCAGAAACTACTTTGTGATGTGTGCCTTCAACTCACAGAGTTTAACCTTTCTTTTCTTAGAGCAGTTTAGAAACACTCTGCTTGTTATGTCTGCAAGTGGATATTTGGACCTCTTTGAGGCCTTCGTTGCAAACGGGGTTTCTTCCTTTAATGCTAGACTAAGAAGAGTTCTCAGTAACTTTTTTGTGTTGTGTGTATTCAACTCACAGAGCTGAACCTTGCTTTAGAGAGAGCAGATTTGAAACCCTCTTGCTGTGGCATTTTCAGGTGGAGATTTCAAGCGATTTGAGGACAATTGCAGAAAAGGAAATATCTTCGTATAACAACCAGACAGAATAATTCTCAGAAAGTGCTTTGTGATGTGTGCGTTCAACTCACAGAGTTTAACCTTTCTTTTCATAGAGGAGTTTGGAAACACACTGTTTGTAAAGTCTGCAATTGGATATATGGACCTGTTTAAGGCCTTCGTTGGAAACGGGATTTCTTCATTGAATGCTAGACGGAAGAATTCTCAGTAAATACTTTGTGTTGTGTGCATTCAACTGACAGAGTGGAACGTCCCTTTAGACAGAGCAGATTTGAAACACTCTTTTTGTGGAATTTGCAAGTGGAGATTTCTAGCCATTTGATGCCAACAGTAGAAAGGGAAATATCTTCAAATAAAAACCAGACAGAATCATTCTCAGAAAATTATTTGTGATGTGTGCGTTCAACTCACATAGTTTAACCTTTCTTTTCATAGAGCAGTTTGGAAACACTCTGTTTGTAAAGTCTGCAAGTGGATATATGGACCGCATTGAGGCCTTCGTTGGAAACGGGATTTCTTCATTTCATGCTAGACAGAAGAATTCTCAGTAACTTCTTTGTGCTGTGTGTATTCAACTCACAGAGTTGAACCTTGCTTTAGAGAGAGCAGATTTGAAACACTCTTGCTGTGGCATTTTCAGGTGGAGATTTCAACGATTTGAGGAAAATTGCAGAAAAGGGAATATCTTCGTATAATAACCAGACAGAATCATTCTCAGAAAGTGCTTTGTGATGTGTGCTTTCCACTCACAGAGTTTAACCTTTCTTTTCATAGAGGAGTTTGGAAACACACTGTTTGTAAACTCTGCAAGTGGATATATGGACCTGTTTGAGGCCTTCGTTGGAAACGGGATTTCTTCATTGAATGCTAGACGGAAGAATTCTCAGTAAATTCTTTGTGTTGTGTGCATTCAACTCACAGAGTGGAACGTCCCTTTAGACAGAGCAGATTTGAAACACTCTTTTTGCGGAATTTGCAAGTGGAGATTTCTAGCCATTTGATGCCAACAGTAGAAAGGGAAATATCTTCAAATAAAAACCAGACAGAATCATTCTCAGAAAATTCTTTGTGATGTGTGCGTTCAACTCACATAGTTTAACCTTTCTTTTCATAGAGCAGTTTGGAAACACTCTGTTTGTAAAGTCTGCAAGTGGATATATGGACCGCATTGAGGCCTTCGTTGGAAACGGGATTTCTTCATTTCATGCTAGACAGAAGAATTCTCAGTAACTTCTTTGTGCTGTGTGTATTCAACTCACAGAGTGGAACGTCCCTTTGCACAGAGCAGATTTGAAACACTCTTTTTGTGGAATTTGCAAGTGGAGATTTCAAGCGATTTGATGCCAACAGTAGAAAAGGAAATATCTTCAAATAAAAACTAGACAGAATCATTCTCAGAAACTACTTTGTGATGTGTGCCTTCAACTCACAGAGTTTAACCTTTCTTTTCTTAGAGCAGTTTAGAAACACTCTGCTTCTTATGTCTGCAAGTGGATATTTGGACCTCTTTGAGGCCTTCGTTGCAAACGGGGTTTCTTCCTTTCATGCTAGACTAAGAAGAGTTCTCAGTAACTTTTTTGTGTTGTGTGTATTCAACTCACAGAGTTGAACCTTGCTTTAGAGAGAGCAGATTTGAAACACTCTTGCTGTGGCATTTTCAGGTGGAGATTTCAAGCGATTTGAGGACAATTGCAGAAAAGGAAATATCTTCGTATAACAACCAGACAGAATCATTCTCAGAAAGTGCTTTGTGATGTGTGCGTTCAACTCACAGAGTTTAACCTTTCTTTTCATAGAGGAGTTTGGAAACACACTGTTTGTAAAGTCTGCAATTGGATATATGGACCTGTTTGAGGCCTTCGTTGGAAACGGGATTTCTTCATTGAATGCTAGACGGAAGAATTCTCAGTAAATTCTTTGTGTGGTGTGCATTCAACTCACAGAGTGGAACGTCCCTTTAGACAGAGCAGATTTGAAACACTCTTTTTGCGGAATTTGCAAGTGGAGATTTCTAGCCATTTGATGCCAACAGTAGAAAGGGAAATATCTTCAAATAAAAACCAGACAGAATCATTCTCAGAAAATTCTTTGTGATGTGTGCGTTCAACTCACATAGTTTAACCTTTCTTTTCATAGAGCAGTTTGGAAACACTCTGTTTGTAAAGTCTGCAAGTGGATATATGGACCGCATTGAGGCCTTCGTTGGAAACGGGATTTCTTCATTTCATGCTAGACAGAAGAATTCTCAGTAACTTCTTTGTGCTGTGTGTATTCAACTCACAGAGTGGAACGTCCCTTTGCACAGAGCGGATTTGAAACACTCTTTTTGTGGAGTTTGCAAGTGGAGATTTCAAGCGATTTGATGCCAACAGTAGAAAAGGAAATATCTTCAAATAAAAACTAGACAGAATCATTCTCAAAAACTACTTTGTGATGTGTGCCTTCAACTCACAGAGTTTAACCTTTCTTTTCTTAGAGCAGTTTAGAAACACTCTGCTTGTTATGTCTGCAAGTGGATATTTGGACCTCTTTGAGGCCTTCGTTGCAAACGGGGTTTCTTCCTTTCATGCTAGACTAAGAAGAGTTCTCAGTAACTTTTTTGTGTTGTGTGTATTCAACTCACAGAGTTGAACCTTGCTTTAGAGAGAGCAGATTTGAAACACTCTTGATGTGGCATTTTCAGGTGGAGATTTCAAGCGATTTGAGGACAATTGCAGAAAAGGAAATATCTTCGTATAATAACCAGACAAAATCATTCTCAGAAAGTGCTTTGTGATGTGTGCGTTCAACTCACAGAGTTTAACCTTTCTTTTCATAGAGGAGTTTGGAAACACACTGTTTGTAAAGTCTGCAATTGGATATATGGACCTGTTTGAGGCCTTCTTTGGAAACGGGATTTCTTCATTGAATGCTAGACGGAAGAATTCTCAGTAAATTCTTTGTGTTGTGTGCATTCAACTCACAGAGTGGAACGTCCCTTTAGACAGAGCAGATTTGAAACACTCTTTTTGCGGAATTTGCAAGTGGAGATTTCTAGCCATTTGATGCCAAGAGTAGAAAGGGAAATATCTTCAAATAAAAACCAGACAGAATCATTCTCAGAAAATTCTTTGTGATGTGTGCGTTCAACTCACATAGTTTAACCTTTCTTTTCATAGAGCAGTTTGGAAACACTCTGTTTGTAAAGTCTGCAAGTGGATATATGGACCGCATTGAGGCCTTCGTTGGAAACGGGATTTCTTCATTTCATGCTAGACAGAAGAATTCTCAGTAACTTCTTTGTGCTGTGTGTATTCAACTCACAGAGTGGAACGTCCCTTTGCACAGAGCAGATTTGAAACACTCTTTTTGTGGAGTTTGCAAGTGGAAATTTCAAGCGATTTGATGCCAACAGTAGAAAAGGAAATATCTTCAAATAAAAACTAGACAGAATCATTCTCAGAAACTACTTTGTGATGTGTGCCTTCAACTCACAGAGTTTAACCTTTCTTTTCTTAGAGCAGTTTAGAAACACTCTGCTTGTTATGTCTGCAAGTGGATATTTGGACCTCTTTGAGGCCTTCGTTGCAAACGGGGTTTCTTCCTTTCATGCTAGACTAAGAAGAGTTCTCAGTAACTTTTTTGTGTTGTGTGTATTCAACTCACAGAGTTGAACCTTGCTTTAGAGAGAGCAGATTTGAAACACTCTTGCTGTGGCATTTTCAGGTGGAGATTTCAAGCGTTTTGAGGACAATTGCAGAAAAGGAAATATCTTCGTATAATAACCAGACAGAATCATTCTCAGAAAGTGCTTTGTGATGTGTGCGTTCAACTCACAGAGTTTAACCTTTCTTTTCATAGAGGAGTTTGGAAACACACTGTTTGTAAAGTCTGCAATTGGATATATGGACCTGTTTGAGGCCTTCGTTGGAAACGGGATTTCTTCATTGAATGCTAGACGGAAGAATTCTCAGTAAATTCTTTGTGTTGTGTGCATTCAACTCACAGAGTGGAACGTCCCTTTAGACAGAGCAGATTTGAAACACTCTTTTTGCGGAATTTGCAAGTGGAGATTTCTAGCCATTTGATGCCAACAGTAGAAAGGGAAATATCTTCAAATAAAAACCAGACAGAATCATTCTCAGAAAATTCTTTGTGATGTGTGCGTTCAACTCACATAGTTTAACCTTTCTTTTCATAGAGCAGTTTGGAAACACTCTGTTTGTAAAGTCTGCAAGTGGATATATGGACCGCATTGAGGCCTTCGTTGGAAACGGGATTTCTTCATTTCATGCTAGACAGAAGAATTCTCAGTAACTTCTTTGTGCTGTGTGTATTCAACTCACAGAGTGGAACGTCCCTTTGCACAGAGCAGATTTGAAACACTCTTTTTGTGGAGTTTGCAAGTGGAGATTTCAAGCGATTTGATGCCAACAGTAGAAAAGGAAATATCTTCAAATAAAAACTAGACAGAATCATTCTCAGAAACTACTTTGTGATGTGTGCCTTCAACTCACAGAGTTTAACCTTTCTTTTCTTAGAGCAGTTTAGAAACACTCTGCTTGTTATGTCTGCAAGTGGATATTTGGACCTCTTTGAGGCCTTCGTTGCAAACGGGGTTTCTTCCTTTCATGCTAGACTAAGAAGAGTTCTCAGTAACTTTTTTGTGTTGTGTGTATTCAACTCACAGAGTTGAACCTTGCTTTAGAGAGAGCAGATTTGAAACACTCTTGCTGTGGCATTTTCAGGTGGAGATTTCAAGCGATTTGAGGACAATTGCAGAAAAGGAAATATCTTCGTATAATAACCAGACAGAATCATTCTCAGAAAGCGCTTTGTGATGTGTGCGTTCCACTCACAGAGTTTAACCTTTCTTTTCATAGAGGAGTTTGGAAACACACTGTTTGTAAAGTCTGCAAGTGGATATATGGACCTGTTTGAGGCCTTCGTTGGAAACGGGATTTCTTCATTGAATGCTAGACGGAAGAATTCTCAGTAAATTCTTTGTGTTGTGTGCATTCAACTCACAGAGTGGAACGTCCCTTTAGACAGAGCAGATTTGAAACACTCTTTTTGCGGAATTTGCAAGTGGAGATTTCTAGCCATTTGATGCCAACAGTAGAAAGGGAAATATCTTCAAATAAAAACCAGACAGAATCATTCTCAGAAAATTCTTTGTGATGTGTGCGTTCAACTCACATAGTTTAACCTTTCTTTTCATAGAGCGGTTTGGAAACACTCTGTTTGTAAAGTCTGCAAGTGGATATATGGACCGCATTGAGGCCTTCGTTGGAAACGGGATTTCTTCATTTCATGCTAGACAGAAGAATTCTCAGTAACTTCTTTGTGCTGTGTGTATTCAACTCACAGAGTGGAACGTCCCTTTACACAGAGCAGATTTGAAACACTCTTTTTGTGGAGTTTGCAAGTGGAGATTTCAAGCGATTTGATGCCAACAGTAGAAAAGGAAATATCTTCAAATAAAAACTAGACAGAATCATTCTCAGAAACTACTTTGTGATGTGTGCCTTCAACTCACAGAGTTTAACCTTTCTTTTCTTAGAGCAGTTTAGAAACACTCTGCTTGTTATGTCTGCAAGTGGATATTTGGACCTCTTTGAGGCCTTCGTTGCAAACGGGGTTTCTTCCTTTCATGCTAGACTAAGAAGAGTTCTCAGTAACTTTTTTGTGTTGTGTGTATTCAACTCACAGAGTTGAACCTTGCTTTAGAGAGAGCAGATTTGAAACACTCTTGCTGTGACATTTTCAGGTGGAGATTTCAAGCGATTTGAGGACAATTGCAGAAAAGGAAATATCTTCGTATAACAACCAGACAGAATCATTCTCAGAAAGTGCTTTGTGATGTGTGCGTTCCACTCACAGAGTTTAACCTTTCTTTTCATAGAGGAGTTTGGAAACACACTGTTTGTAAAGTCTGCAATTGGATATATGGACCTGTTTGAGGCCTTCGTTGGAAACGGGATTTCTTCATTGAATGCTAGACGGAAGAATTCTCAGTAAATTCTTTGTGTTGTGTGCATTCAACTCACAGAGTGGAACGTCCCTTTAGACAGAGCAGATTTGAAACACTCTTTTTGCGGAATTTGCAAGTGGAGATTTCTAGCCATTTGATGCCAACAGTAGAAAGGGAAATATCTTCAAATAAAAACCAGACAGAATCATTCTCAGAAAATTCTTTGTGATGTGTGCGTTCAACTCACATAGTTTAACCTTTCTTTTCATGGAGCAGTTTGGAAACACTCTGTTTGTAAAGTCTGCAAGTGGATATATGGACCGCATTGAGGCCTTCGTTGGAAACGGGATTTCTTCATTTCATGCTAGACAGAAGAATTCTCAGTAACTTCTTTGTGCTGTGTGTATTCAACTCACAGAGTGGAACGTCCCTTTACACAGAGCAGATTTGAAACACTCTTTTTGTGGAGTTTGCAAGTGGAGATTTCAAGCGATTTGATGCCAACAGTAGAAAAGGAAATATCTTCAAATAAAAACTAGACAGAATCATTCTCAGAAACTACTTTGTGATGTGTGCCTTCAACTCACAGAGTTTAACCTTTCTTTTCTTAGAGCAGTTTAGAAACACTCTGCTTGTTATGTCTGCAAGTGGATATTTGGACCTCTTTGAGGCCTTCGTTGCAAACGTGGTTTCTTCCTTTCATGCTAGACTAAGAAGAGTTCTCAGTAACTTTTTTGTGTTGTGTGTATTCAACTCACAGAGTTGAACCTTGCTTTAGAGAGAGCAGATGTGAAACACTCTTGCTGTGGCATTTTCAGGTGGAGATTTCAAGCGATTTGAGGACAATTGCAGAAAAGGAAATATCTTCGTATAATAACCAGACAGAATCATTCTCAGAAAGTGCTTTGTGATGTGTGCGTTCAACTCACAGAGTTTAACCTTTCTTTTCATAGAGGAGTTTGGAAACACACTGTTTGTAACGTCTGCAATTGGATATATGGACCTGTTTGAGGCCTTCGTTGGAAACGGGATTTCTTCATTGAATGCTAGACGGAAAGAATTCTCAGTAAATTCTTTGTGTTGTGTGCATTCAACTCACAGAGTGGAACGTCCCTTTAGACAGAGCAGATTTGAAACACTCTTTTTGCGGAATTTGCAAGTGGAGATTTCTAGCCATTTGATGCCAACAGTAGAAAGGGAAATATCTTCAAATAAAAACCAGACAGAATCATTCTCAGAAAATTCTTTGTGATGTGTGCGTTCAACTCACATAGTTTAACCTTTCTTTTCATAGAGCAGTTTGGAAACACTCTGTTTGTAAAGTCTGCAAGTGGATATATGGACCGCATTGAGGCCTTCGTTGGAAACGGGATTTCTTCATTTCATGCTAGACAGAAGAATTCTCAGTAACTTCTTTGTGCTGTGTGTATTCAACTCACAGAGTGGAACGTCCCTTTGCACAGAGCAGATTTGAAACACTCTTTTTGTGGAGTTTGCAAGTGGAGATTTCAAGCGATTTTATGCCAACAGTAGAAAAGGAAATATCTTCAAATAAAAACTAGACAGAATCATTCTCAGAAACTACTTTGTGATGTGTGCCTTCAACTCACAGAGTTTAACCTTTCTTTTCTTAGAGCAGCTTAGAAACACTCTGCTTGTTATGTCTGCAAGTGGATATTTGGACCTCTTTGAGGCCTTCGTTGCAAACGGGGTTTCTTCCTTTAATGCTAGACTAAGAAGAGTTCTCAGTAACCTTTTTGTGTTGTGTGTATTCAACTCACAGAGTTGAACCTTGCTTTAGAGAGAGCAGATTTGAAACACTCTCGCTGTGGAATTTTCAGGTGGAGATTTCAAGCGATTTGAGGACAATTGCAGAAAAGGAAATATCTTCGTATAATAACCAGACAGAATCATTCTCAGAAAGTGCTTTGTGATGTGTGCGTTCAACTCACAGAGTTTAACCTTTCTTTTCATAGACGAGTTTGGAAACACACTGTTTGTAAAGTCTGCAATTGGATATATGGACCTGTTTGAGGCCTTCGTTGGAAACGGGATTTCTTCATTGAATGCTAGACGGAAGAATTCTCAGTAAATTCTTTGTGTGGTGTGCATTCAACTCACAGAGTGGAACGTCCCTTTAGACAGAGCAGATTTGAAACACTCTTTTTGCGGAATTTGCAAGTGGAGATTTCTAGCCATTTGATGCCAACAGTAGAAAGGGAAATATCTTCAAATAAAAACCAGACAGAATCATTCTCAGAAAATTCTTTGTGATGTGTGCGTTCAACTCACATAGTTTAACCTTTCTTTTCATAGAGCAGTTTGGAAACACTCTGTTTGTAAAGTCTGCAAGTGGATATATGGACCGCATTGAGGCCTTCGTTGGAAACGGGATTTCTTCATTTCATGCTAGACAGAAGAATTCTCAGTAACTTCTTTGTGCTGTGTGTATTCAACTCACAGAGTGGAACGTCCCTTTGCACAGAGCAGATTTGAAACACTCTTTTTGTGGAGTTTGCAAGTGGAGATTTCAAGCGATTTGATGCCAACAGTAGAAAAGGAAATATCTTCAAATAAAAACTAGACAGAATCATTCTCAGAAACTACTTTGTGATGTGTGCCTTCAACTCACAGAGTTTAACCTTTCTTTTCTTAGAGCAGTTTAGAAACACTCTGCTTGTTATGTCTGCAAGTGGATATTTGGACCTCTTTGAGGCCTTCGTTGCAAACGGGGTTTCTTCCTTTCATGCTAGACTAAGAAGAGTTCTCAGTAACTTTTTTGTGTTGTGTGTATTCAACTCACAGAGTTGAACCTTGCTTTAGAGAGGGCAGATTTGAAACACTCTCGCTGTGGCATTTTCAGGTGGAGATTTCAAGCGATTTGAGGACAATTGCAGAAAAGGAAATATACTTCGTATAATAACCAGACAGAATGATTCTCAGAAAGTGCTTTGTGATGTGTGCGTTCCACTCACAGAGTTTAACCTTTCTTTTCATAGAGGAGTTTGGAAACACACTGTTTGTAAAGTCTGCAAGTGGATATATGGACCTGTTTGAGGCCTTCGTTGGAAACGGGATTTCTTCATTGAATGCTAGACGGAAGAATTCTCAGTAAATTCTTTGTGTTGTGTGCATTCAACTCACAGAGTGGAACCGTCCCTTTAGACAGAGCAGATTTGAAACACTCTTTTTGCGGAATTTGCAAGTGGAGATTTCTAGCCATTTGATGCCAACAGTTGAAAGGGAAATATCTTCAAATAAAAACCAGACAGAATCATTCTCAGAAAATTCTTTGTGATGTGTGCGTTCAACTCACATAGTTTAACCTTTCTTTTCATAGAGCAGTTTGGAAACACTCTGTTTGTAAAGTCTGCAAGTGGATCTATGGACCGCATTGAGGCCTTCGTTGGAAACGGGATTTCTTCATTTCATGCTAGACAGAAGAATTCTCAGTAACTTCTTTGTGCTGTGTGTATTCAACTCACAGAGTGGAACGTCCCTTTACACAGAGCAGATTTGAAACACTCTTTTTGTGGAGTTTGCAAGTGGAGATTTCAAGCGATTTGATGCCAACAGTAGAAAAGGAAATATCTTCAAATAAAAACTAGACAGAATCATTCTCAGAAACTACTTTGTGATGTGTGCCTTCAACTCACAGAGTTTAACCTTTCTTTTCTTAGAGCAGTTTAGAAACACTCTGCTTGTTATGTCTGCAAGTGGATATTTGGACCTACTTTGAGGCCTTCGTTGCAAACGGGGTTTCTTCCTTTCATGCTAGACTAAGAAGAGTTCTCAGTAACTTTTTTGTGTTGCGTGTATTCAACTCACAGAGTTGAACCTTGCTTTAGAGAGAGCAGATTTGAAACACTCTTGCTGTGGCATTTTCAGGTGGAGATTTCAAGCGATTTGAGGACAATTGCAGAAAAGGAAATATCTTCGTATAATAACCAGACAGAATCATTCTCAGAAAGTGTTTTGTGATGTGTGCGTTCAACTCACAGAGTTTAACCTTTCTTTTCATAGAGGAGTTTGGAAACACACTGTTTGTAAAGTCTGCAATTGGATATATGGACCTGTTTGAGGCCTTCGTTGGAAACGGGATTTCTTCATTGAATGCTAGACGGAAGAATTCTCAGTAAATTCTTTGTGTTGTGTGCATTCAACTCACAGAGTGGAACGTCCCTTTAGACAGAGCAGATTTGAAACACTCTTTTTGCGGAATTTGCAAGTGGAGATTTCTAGCCATTTGATGCCAACAGTAGAAAGGGAAATATCTTCAAATAAAAACCAGACAGAATCATTCTCAGAAAATTCTTTGTGATGTGTGCGTTCAACTCACATAGTTTAACCTTTCTTTTCATAGAGCAGTTTGGAAACACTCTGTTTGTAAAGTCTGCAAGTGGATATATGGACCGCATTGAGGCCTTCGTTGGAAACGGGATTTCTTCATTTCATGCTAGACAGAAGAATTCTCAGTAACTTCTTTGTGCTGTGTGTATTCAACTCACAGAGTGGAACGTCCCTTTACACAGAGCAGATTTGAAACACTCTTTTTGTGGAGTTTGCAAGTGGAGATTTCAAGCGATTTGATGCCAACAGTAGAAAAGGAAATATCTTCAAATAAAAACTAGACAGAATCATTCTCAGAAACTACTTTGTGATGTGTGCCTTCAACTCACAGAGTTTAACCTTTCTTTTCTTAGAGCACTTTAGAAACACTCTGCTTGTTATGTCTGCAAGTGGATATTTGGACCTCTTTGAGGCCTTCGTTGCAAACGGGGTTTCTTCCTTTCATGCTAGACTAAGAAGAGTTCTCAGTAACTTTTTTGTGTTGTGTGTATTCAACTCACAGAGTTGAACCTTGCTTTAGAGAGAGCAGATTTGAAACACTCTTGCTGTGGCATTTTCAGGTGGAGATTTCAAGCGATTTGAGGACAATTGCAGAAAAGGAAATATCTTCGTATAATAACCAGACAGAATCATTCTCAGAAAGTGCTTTGTGATGTGTGCGTTCAACTCACAGAGTTTAACCTTTCTTTTCATAGAGGAGTTTGGAAACACACTGTTTGTAAAGTCTGCAATTGGATATATGGACCTGTTTGAGGCCTTCGTTGGAAACGGGATTTCTTCATTGCATGCTAGACGGAAGAATTCTCAGTAAATTCTTTGTGTTGTGTGCATTCAACTCACAGAGTGGAACGTCCCTTTAGACAGAGCAGATTTGAAACACTCTTTTTGCGGAATTTGCAAGTGGAGATTTCTAGCCATTTGATGCCAACAGTAGAAAGGGAAATATCTTCAAATAAAAACCAGACAGAATCATTCTCAGAAAATTCTTTGTGATGTGTGCGTTCAACTCACATAGTTTAACCTTTCTTTTCATAGAGCAGTTTGGAAACACTCTGTTTGTAAAGTCTGCAAGTGGATATATGGACCGCATTGAGGCCTTCGTTGGAAACGGGATTTCTTCATTTCATGCTAGACAGAAGAATTCTCTGTAACTTCTTTGTGCTGTGTGTATTCAACTCACAGAGTGGAACGTCCCTTTACACAGAGCAGATTTGAAACACTCTTTTTGTGGAGTTTGCAAGTGGAGATTTCAAGCGATTTGATGCCAACAGTAGAAAAGGAAATATCTTCAAATAAAAACTAGACAGAATCATTCTCAGAAACTACTTTGTGATGTGTGCCTTCAACTCACAGAGTTTAACCTTTCTTTTCTTAGAGCAGTTTAGAAACACTCTGCTTGTTATGTCTGCAAGTGGATATTTGGACCTCTTTGAGGCCTTCGTTGCAAACGGGGTTTCTTCCTTTCATGCTAGACTAAGAAGAGTTCTCAGTAACTTTTCTGTGTTGTGTGTATTCAACTCACAGAGTTGAACCTTGCTTTAGAGAGAGCAGATTTGAAACACTCTTGCTGTGACATTTTCAGGTGGAGATTTCAAGCGATTTGAGGACAATTGCAGAAAAGGAAATATCTTCGTATAACAACCAGACAGAATCATTCTCAGAAAGTGCTTTGTGATGTGTGCGTTCCACTCACAGAGTTTAACCTTTCTTTTCATAGAGGAGTTTGGAAACACACTGTTTGTAAAGTCTGCAATTGGATATATGGACCTGTTTGAGGCCTTCGTTGGAAACGGGATTTCTTCATTGAATGCTAGACGGAAGAATTCTCAGTAAATTCTTTGTGTTGTGTGCATTCAACTCACAGAGTGGAACGTCCCTTTAGACAGAGCAGATTTGAAACACTCTTTTTGCGGAATTTGCAAGTGGAGATTTCTAGCCATTTGATGCCAACAGTAGAAAGGGAAATATCTTCAAATAAAAACCAGACAGAATCATTCTCAGAAAATTCTTTGTGATGTGTGCGTTCAACTCACATAGTTTAACCTTTCTTTTCATAGAGCAGTTTGGAAACACTCTGTTTGTAAAGTCTGCAAGTGGATATATGGACCGCATTGAGGCCTTCGTTGGAAACGGGATTTCTTCATTTCATGCTAGACAGAAGAATTCTCAGTAACTTCTTTGTGCTGTGTGTATTCAACTCACAGAGTGGAACGTCCCTTTGCACAGAGCAGATTTGAAACACTCTTTTTGTGGAGTTTGCAAGTGGAGATTTCAAGCGATTTGATGCCAACAGTAGAAAAGGAAATATCTTCAAATAAAAACTAGACAGAATCATTCTCAGAAACTACTTTGTGATGTGTGCCTTCAACTCACAGAGTTTAACCTTTCTTTTCTTAGAGCAGTTTAGAAACACTCTGCTTGTTATGTCTGCAAGTGGATATTTGGACCTCTTTGAGGCCTTCGTTGCAAACGGGGTTTCTTCCTTTCATGCTAGACTAAGAAGAGTTCTCAGTAACTTTTTTGTGTTGTGTGTATTCAACTCACAGAGTTGAACCTTGCTTTAGAGAGAGCAGATTTGAAACACTCTTGATGTGGCATTTTCAGGTGGAGATTTCAAGCGATTTGAGGACAATTGCAGAAAAGGAAATATCTTCGTATAATAACCAGACAGAATCATTCTCAGAAAGTGCTTTGTGATGTGTGCGTTCAACTCACAGAGTTTAACCTTTCTTTTCATAGAGGAGTTTGGAAACACACTGTTTGTAAAGTCTGCAATTGGATATATGGACCTGTTTGAGGCCTTCGTTGGAAACGGGATTTCTTCATTGAATGCTAGACGGAAGAATTCTCAGTAAATTCTTTGTGTTGTGTGCATTCAACTCACAGAGTGGAACGTCCCTTTAGACAGAGCAGATTTGAAACACTCTTTTTGCGGAATTTGCAAGTGGAGATTTCTAGCCATTTGATGCCAACAGTAGAAAGGGAAATATCTTCAAATAAAAACCAGACAGAATCATTCTCAGAAAATTCTTTGTGATGTGTGCGTTCAAATCACATAGTTTAACCTTTCTTTTCATAGAGCAGTTTGAAAACACTCTGTTTGTAAAGTCTGCAAGTGGATATATGGACCGCATTGAGGCGTTCGTTGGAAACGGGATTTCTCCATTTCATGCTAGACAGAAGAATTCTCAGTAACTTCTTTGTGCTGTGTGTATTCAACTCACAGAGTGGAACGTCCCTTTGCACAGAGCAGATTTGAAACACTCTTTTTGTGGAGTTTGCAAGTGGAGATTTCAAGCGATTTGATGCCAACAGTAGAAAAGGAAATATCTTCAAATAAAAACTAGACAGAATCATTCTCAGAAACTACTTTGTGATGTGTGCCTTCAACTCACAGAGTTTAACCTTTCTTTTCTTAGAGCAGTTTAGAAACACTCTGCTTGTTATGTCTGCAAGTGGATATTTGGACCTCTTTGAGGCCTTCGTTGCAAACGGCGTTTCTTCCTTTAATGCTAGACTAAGAAGAGTTCTCAGTAACTTTTTTGTGTTGTGTGTATTCAACTCACAGAGTTGAACCTTGCTTTAGAGAGAGCAGATTTGAAACACTCTTGCTGTGGCATTTTCAGGTGGAGATTTCAAGCGATTTGAGGACAATTGCAGAAAAGGAAATATCTTCGTATAATAACCAGACAGAATCATTCTCAGAAAGTGCTTTGTGATGTGTGCGTTCAACTCACAGAGTTTAACCTTTCTTTTCATAGAGGAGTTTGGAAACACACTGTTTGTAAAGTCTGCAATTGGATATATGGACCTGTTTGAGGCCTTCGTTGGAAACGGGATTTCTTCATTGAATGCTAGACGGAAGAATTCTCAGTAAATTCTTTGTGTTGTGTGCATTCAACTGACAGAGTGGAACGTCCCTTTAGACAGAGCAGATTTGAAACACCCTTTTTGCGGAATTTGCAAGTGGAGATTTCTAGCCATTTGATGCCAACAGTAGAAAGGGAAATATCTTCAAATAAAAACCAGACAGAATCATTCTCAGAAAATTCTTTGTGATGTGTGCGTTCAACTCACATAGTTTAACCTTTCTTTTCATAGAGCAGTTTGGAAACACTCTGTTTGTAAAGTCTGCAAGTGGATATATGGACCGCATTGAGGCCTTCGTTGGAAACGGGATTTCTTCATTTCATGCTAGACAGAAGAATTCTCAGTAACTTCTTTGTGCTGTGTGTATTCAACTCACAGAGTGGAACGTCCCTTTGCACAGAGCAGATTTGAAACACTCTTTTTGTGGAGTTTGCAAGTGGAGATTTCAAGCGATTTGATGCCAACAGTAGAAAAGGAAATATCTTCAAATAAAAACTAGACAGAATCATTCTCAGAAACTACTTTGTGATGTGTGCCTTCAACTCACAGAGTTTAACCTTTCTTTTCTTAGAGCAGTTTAGAAACACTCTGCTTGTTATGTCTGCAAGTGGATATTTGGACCTACTTTGAGGCCTTCGTTGCAAACGGGGTTTCTTCCTTTAATGCTAGACTAAGAAGAGTTCTCAGTAACTTTTTTGTGTTGTGTGCATTCAACTCACAGAGTGGAACGTCCCTTTAGACAGAGCAGATTTGAAACACTCTTTTTGCGGAAGTTGCAAGTGGAGATTTCTAGCCATTTGATGCCAACAGTACAAAGGGAAATATCTTCAAATAAAAACTAGACAGAATCATTCTCAGAAAGTGCTTTGTGATGTGTGCGTTCAACTCACAGAGTTTAACCTTTCTTTTCATAAAGGAGTTTGGAAACACACTGTTTGTAAAGTCTGCAATTGGATATATGGACCTGTTTGAGGCCTTCATTGGAAACGGGATTTCTTCATTGAATGCTAGACGGAAGAATTCTCAGTAAATTCTTTGTGTTGTGTGCATTCAACTGACAGAGTGGAACGTCCCTTTAGACAGAGCAGATTTGAAACACTCTTTTTGCGGAATTTGCAAGTGGAGATTTCTAGCCATTTGATGCCAACAGTAGAAAGGGAAATATCTTCAAATAAAAACCAGACAGAATCATTCTCAGAAAATTCTTTGTGATGTGTGCGTTCAACTCACATAGTTTAACCTTTCTTTTCATAGAGCAGTTTGGAAACACTCTGTTTGTAAAGTCTGCAAGTGGATATATGGACCGCATTGAGGCCTTCGTTGGAAACGGGATTTCTTCATTTCATGCTAGACAGAAGAATTCTCAGTAACTTCTTTGTGCTGTGTGTATTCAACTCACAGAGTGGAACGTCCCTTTACACAGAGCAGATTTGAAACACTCTTTTTGTGGAGTTTGCAAGTGGAGATTTCAAGCGATTTGATGCCAACAGTAGAAAAGGAAATATCTTCAAATAAAAACTAGACAGAATCATTCTCAGAAACTACTTTGTGATGTGTGCCTTCAACTCACAGAGTTTAACCTTTCTTTTCTTAGAGCAGTTTAGAAACACTCTGCTTGTTATGTCTGCAAGTGGATATTTGGACCTCTTTGAGGCCTTCGTTGCAAACGGGGATTCTTCATTTAATGCTAGACTAAGCAAGAGTTCTCAGTAACTTTTTTGTGTTGTGTGTATTCAACTCACAGAGTTGAACCTTGCTTTAGAGAGAGCAGATTTGAAACACTCTTGCTGTGGCATTTTCAGGTGGAGATTTCAAGCGATTTGAGGACAATTGCAGAAAAGGAAATATCTTCGTATAATAACCAGACAGAATCATTCTCAGAAAGTGCTTTGTGATGTGTGCGTTCCACTCACAGAGTTTAACCTTTCTTTTCATAGAGGAGTTTGGAAACACACTGTTTGTAAAGTCTGCAAGTGGATATATGGACCTGTTTGAGGCCTTCGTTGGAAACGGGATTTCTTCATTGAATGCTAGACGGAAGAATTCTCAGTAAATTCTTTGTGTTGTGTGCATTCAACTCACAGAGTGGAACGTCCCTTTAGACAGAGCAGATTTGAAACACTCTTTTTGCGGAATTTGCAAGTGGAGATTTCTAGCCATTTGATGCCAACAGTAGAAAGGGAAATATACTTCAAATAAAAACCAGGCAGAATCATTCTCAGAAAATTCTTTGTGATGTGTGCGTTCAACTCACATAGTTTAACCTTTCTTTTCATAGAGCAGTTTGGAAACACTCTGTTTGTAAAGTCTGCAAGTGGATATATGGACCGCATTGAGGCCTTCGTTGGAAACGGGATTTCTTCATTTCATGCTAGACAGAAGAATTCTCAGTAACTTCTTTGTGCTGTGTGTATTCAACTCACAGAGTGGAACGTCCCTTTGCACAGAGCGGATTTGAAACACTCTTTTTGTGGAGTTTGCAAGTGGAGATTTCAAGCGATTTGATGCCAACAGTAGAAAAGGAAATATCTTCAAATAAAAACTAGACAGAATCATTCTAAAAAACTACTTTGTGATGTGTGCCTTCAACTCACAGAGTTTAACCTTTCTTTTCTTAGAGCAGTTTAGAAACACTCTGCTTGTTATGTCTGCAAGTGGATATTTGGACCTCTTTGAGGCCTTCGTTGCAAACGGGGTTTCTTCCTTTCATGCTAGACTAAGAAGAGTTCTCAGTAACTTTTTTGTGTTGTGTGTATTCAACTCACAGAGTTGAACCTTGCTTTAGAGAGAGCAGATTTGAAACACTCTTGCTGTGGCATTTTCAGGTGGAGATTTCAAGCGATTTGAGGACAATTGCAGAAAAGGAAATATCTTCGTATAATAACCAGACAGAATCATTCTCAGAAAGTGCTTTGTGATGTGTGCGTTCAACTCACAGAGTTTAACCTTTCTTTTCATAGAGGAGTTTGGAAACACACTGTTTGTAAAGTCTGCAAGTGGATATATGGACCTGTTTGAGGCCTTCGTTGGAAACGGGATTTCTTCATTGAATGCTAGACGGAAGAATTCTCAGTAAATTCTTTGTGTTGTGTGCATTCAACTCACAGAGTGGAACGTCCCTTTAGACACAGCAGATTTGAAACACTCTTTTTGCGGAATTTGCAAGTGGAGATTTCTAGCCATTTGATGCCAACAGTAGAAAGGGAAATATCTTCAAATAAAAACCAGACAGAATCATTCTCAGAAAATTCTTTGTGATGTGTGCGTTCAACTCACATAGTTTAACCTTTCTTTTCATAGAGCAGTTTGGGAACACTCTGTTGGTAATGTCTGCAAGTGGATATATGGACCGCTTTGAGGCCTTCGTTGGAAACGGGATTTCTTCATTTCATGCTAGACAGAAGAATTCTCAGTAACTTCTTTGTGCTGTGTGTATTCAACTCACAGAGTGGAACGTCCCTTTACACAGAGCAGATTTGAAACACTCTTTTTGTGGAGTTTGCAAGTGGAGATTTCAAGCGATTTGATGCCAACAGTAGAAAAGGAAATATCTTCAAATAAAAACTAGACAGAATCATTCTCAGAAACTGCTTTGTGATGTGTGCCTTCAACTCACAGAGTTTAACCTTTCTTTTCTTAGAGCAGTTTAGAAACACTCTGCTTGTTATGTCTGCAAGTGGATATTTGGACCTCTTTGAGGCCTTCGTTGCAAACGGGGTTTCTTCCTTTCATGCTAGACTAAGAAGAGTTCTCAGTAACTTTTTTGTGTTGTGTGTATTCAACTCACAGAGTTGAACCTTGCTTTAGAGAGAGCAGATTTGAAACACTCTTGCTGTGGCATTTTCAGGTGGAGATTTCAAGCGATTTGAGGACAATTGCAGAAAAGGAAATATCTTCGTATAATAACCAGACAGAATCATTCTCAGAAAGTGCTTTGTGATGTGTGCGTTCCACTCACAGAGTTTAACCTTTCTTTTCATAGAGGAGTTTGGAAACACACTGTTTGTAAAGTCTGCAAGTGGATATATGGACCTGTTTGAGGCCTTCGTTGGAAACGGGATTTCTTCATTGAATGCTAGACGGAAGAATTCTCAGTAAATTCTTTGTGTTGTGTGCATTCAACTCACAGAGTGGAACGTCCCTTTAGACAGAGCAGATTTGAAACACTCTTTTTGCGGAATTTGCAAGTGGAGATTTCTAGCCATTTGATGGCCAACAGTAGAAAGGGAAATATCTTCAAATAAAAACCAGACAGAATCATTCTCAGAAAATTCTTTGTGATGTGTGCGTTCAACTCACATAGTTTAACCTTTCTTTTCTTAGAGCAGTTTAGAAACACTCTGCTTGTTATGTCTGCAAGTGGATATTTGGACCTCTTTGAGGCCTTCGTTGCAAACGGGGTTTCTTCCTTTCATGCTAGACTAAGAAGAGTTCTCAGTAACTTTTTTGTGTTGTGTGTATTCAACTCACAGAGTTGAACCTTGCTTTAGAGAGAGCAGATTTGAAACACTCTTGCTGTGGCATTTTCAGGTGGAGATTTCAAGCGATTTGAGGACAATTGCAGAAAAGGAAATATCTTCGTATAACAACCAGACAGAATCATTCTCAGAAAGTGCTTTGTGATGTGTGGGTTCAACTCACAGAGTTTAACCTTTCTTTTCATAGAGGAGTTTGGAAACACACTGTTTGTAAAGTCTGCAATTGGATATATGGACCTGTTTGAGGCCTTCGTTGGAAACGGGATTTCTTCATTGACTGCTAGACAGAAGAATTCTCAGTAAATTCTTTGTGTTGTGTGCATTCAACTCACAGAGTGGAACGTCCCTTTAGACAGAGCAGATTTGAAACACTCTTTTTGCGGAATTTGCAAGTGGAGATTTCTAGCCATTTGATGCCAACAGTAGAAAGGGAAATATCTTCAAATAAAAACCAGACAGAATCATTCTCAGAAAATTCTTTGTGATGTGTGCGTTCAACTCACATAGTTTAACCTTTCTTTTCATAGAGCAGTTTGGAAACACTCTGTTTGTAAAGTCTGCAAGTGGATATATGGACCGCATTGAGGCCTTCGTTGGAAACGGGATTTCTTCATTTCATGCTAGACAGAAGAATTCTCAGTAACTTCTTTGTGCTGTGTGTATTCAACTCACAGAGTGGAACGTCCCTTTGCACAGAGCAGATTTGAAACACTCTTTTTGTGGAATTTGCAAGTGGAGATTTCAAGCGATTTGATGCCAACAGTAGAAAAGGAAATATCTTCAAATAAAAACTAGACAGAATCATTCTCAGAAACTACTTTGTGATGTGTGCCTTAAACTCACAGAGTTTAACCTTTCTTTTCTTAGAGCAGTTTAGAAACACTCTGCTTGTTATGTCTGCAAGTGGGTATTTGGACCTCTTTGAGGCCTTCGTTGCAAACGGGGTTTCTTCCTTTAATGCTAGACTAAGAAGAGTTCTCAGTAACTTTTTTGTGTTGTGTGTATTCAACTCACAGAGTTGAACCTTGCTTTAGAGAGAGCAGATTTGAAACACTCTTGCTGTGGCATTTTCAGGTGGAGATTTCAAGCGATTTGAGGACAATTGCAGAAAAGGAAATATCTTCGTATAACAACCAGACAGAATCATTCTCAGAAAGTGCTTTGTGATGTGTGCGTTCAACTCACAGAGTTTAACCTTTCTTTTCATAGAGGAGTTTGGAAACACACTGTTTGTAAAGTCTGCAATTGGATATATGGACCTGTTTGAGGCCTTCGTTGGAAACGGGATTTCTTCATTGCATGCTAGACGGAAGAATTCTCAGTAAATTCTTTGTGTTGTGTGCATTCAACTGACAGAGTGGAACTGTCCCTTTAGACAGAGCAGATTTGAAACACTCTTTTTGCGGAATTTGCAAGTGGAGATTTCTAGCCATTTGATGCCAACAGTAGAAAGGGAAATATCTTCAAATAAAAACCAGACAGAATCATTCTCAGAAAATTCTTTGTGATGTGTGCGTTCAACTCACATAGTTTAACCTTTCTTTTCATAGAGCAGTTTGGAAACACTCTGTTTGTAAAGTCTGCAAGTGGATATATGGACCGCATTGAGGCCTTCGTTGGAAACGGGATTTCTTCATTTCATGCTAGACAGAAGAATTCTCAGTAACTTCTTTGTGCTGTGTGTATTCAACTCACAGAGTGGAACGTCCCTTTACACAGAGCAGATTTGAAACACTCTTTTTGTGGAGTTTGCAAGTGGAGATTTCAAGCGATTTGATGCCAACAGTAGAAAAGGAAATATCTTCAAATAAAAACTAGACAGAATCATTCTCAGAAACTACTTTGTGATGTGTGCCTTCAACTCACAGAGTTTAACCTTTCTTTTCTTAGAGCAGTTTAGAAACACTCTGCTTGTTATGTCTGCAAGTGGATATTTGGACCTCTTTGAGGCCTTCGTTGCAAACGGGGTTTCTTCCTTTCATGCTAGACTAAGAAGAGTTCTCAGTAACTTTTTTGTGTTGTGTGTATTCAACTCACAGAGTTGAACCTTGCTTTAGAGAGAGCAGATTTGAAACACTCTTGCTGTGGCATTTTCAGGTGGAGATTTCAAGCGATTTGAGGACAATTGCAGAAAAGGAAATATCTTCGTATAATAACCAGACAGAATCATTCTCAGAAAGTGCTTTGTGATGTGTGCGTTCAACTCACAGAGTTTAACCTTTCTTTTCATAGAGGAGTTTGGAAACACACTGTTTGTAAAGTCTGCAATTGGATATATGGACCTGTTTGAGGCCTTCGTTGGAAACGGGATTTCTTCATTGAATGCTAGACGGAAGAATTCTCAGTAAATTCTTTGTGTTGTGTGCATTCAACTCACAGAGTGGAACGTCCCTTTAGAGAGAGCAGATTTGAAACACTCTTTTTGCGGAATTTGCAAGTGGAGATTTCTAGCCATTTGATGCCAACAGTAGAAAGGGAAATATCTTCAAATAAAAACCAGACAGAATCATTCTCAGAAAATTCTTTGTGATGTGTGCGTTCAACTCACATAGTTTAACCTTTCTTTTCATAGAGCAGTTTGGAAACACTCTGTTTGTAAAGTCTGCAAGTGGATATATGGACCGCATTGAGGCCTTCGTTGGAAACGGGATTTCTTCATTTCATGCTAGACAGAAGAATTCTCAGTAACTTCTTTGTGCTGTGTGTATTCAACTCACAGAGTGGAACGTCCCTTTACACAGAGCAGATTTGAAACACTCTTTTTGTGGAGTTTGCAAGTGGAGATTTCAAGCGATTTGATGCCAACAGTGGAAAAGGAAATATCTTCAAATAAAAACTAGACAGAATCATTCTCAGAAACTACTTTGTGATGTGTGCCTTCAACTCACAGAGTTTAACCTTTCTTTTCTTAGAGCAGTTTAGAAACACTCTGCTTGTTATGTCTGCAAGTGGATATTTGGACCTCTTTGAGGCCTTCGTTGCAAACGGGGTTTCTTCCTTTCATGCTAGACTAAGAAGAGTTCTCAGTAACTTTTTTGTGTTGTGTGTATTCAACTCACAGAGTTGAACCTTGCTTTAGAGAGAGCAGATTTGAAACACTCTTGCTGTGGCATTTTCAGGTGGAGATTTCAAGCGATTTGAGGACAATTGCAGAAAAGGAAATATCTTCGTATAATAACCAGACAGAATCATTCTCAGAAAGTGCTTTGTGATGTGTGCGTTCAACTCACAGAGTTTAACCTTTCTTTTCATAGAGGAGTTTGGAAACACACTGTTTGTAAAGTCTGCAATTGGATATATGGACCTGTTTGAGGCCTTCGTTGGAAACGGGATTTCTTCATTGAATGCTAGACTGAAGAATTCTCAGTAAATTCTTTGTGTTGTGTGCATTCAACTCACAGAGTGGAACGTCCCTTTAGACAGAGCAGATTTGAAACACTTTTTGGCGGAATTTGCAAGTGGAGATTTCTAGCCATTTGATGCCAACAGTAGAAAGGGAAATATCTTCAAATAAAAAGCAGACAGAATCATTCTCAGAAAATTCTTTGTGATGTGTGCGTTCAACTCACATAGTTTAACCTTTCTTTTCATAGAGCAGTTTGGAAACACTCTGTTTGTAAAGTCTGCAAGTGGATATATGGACCGCATTGAGGCCTTCGTTGGAAACGGGATTTCTTCATTTCATGCTAGACAGAAGAATTCTCAGTAACTTCTTTGTGCTGTGTGTATTCAACTCACAGAGTGGAACGTCCCTTTGCACAGAGCAGATTTGAAACACTCTTTTTGTGGAGTTTGCAAGTGGAGATTTCAAGCGATTTGATGCCAACAGTAGAAAAGGAAATATCTTCAAATAAAAACTAGACAGAATCATTCTCAGAAACTACTTTGTGATGTGTGCCTTCAACTCACAGAGTTTAACCTTTCTTTTCTTAGAGCAGTTTAGAAACACTCTGCTTGTTATGTCTGCAAGTGGATATTTGGACCTCTTTGAGGCCTTCGTTGCAAACGGGGTTTCTTCCTTTCATGCTAGACTAAGAAGAGTTCTCAGTAACTTTTTTGTGTTGTGTGTATTCAACTCACAGAGTTGAACCTTGCTTTAGAGAGAGCAGATTTGAAACACTCTTGCTGTGGCATTTTCAGGTGGAGATTTCAAGCGATTTGAGGACAATTGCAGAAAAGGAAATATCTTCGTATAACAACCAGACAGAATCATTCTCAGAAAGTGCTTTGTGATGTGTGCGTTCCACTCACAGAGTTTAACCTTTCTTTTCATAGAGGAGTTTGGAAACACACTGTTTGTAAAGTCTGCAAGTGGATATATGGACCTGTTTGAGGCCTTCGTTGGAAACGGGATTTCTTCATTGAATGCTAGGCGGAAGAATTCTCAGTAAATTCTTTGTGTTGTGTGCATTCAACTCACAGAGTGGAACGTCCCTTTAGACAGAGCAGATTTGAAACACTCTTTTTGCGGAATTTGCAAGTGGAGATTTCTAGCCATTTGATGCCAACAGTAGAAAGGGAAATATCTTCAAATAAAAACCAGACAGAATCATTCTCAGAAAATTCTTTGTGATGTGTGCGTTCAACTCACATAGTTTAACCTTTCTTTTCATAGAGCAGTTTGGAAACACTCTGTTTGTAAAGTCTGCAAGTGGATATATGGACCGCATTGAGGCCTTCGTTGGAAACGGGATTTCTTCATTTCATGCTAGACAGAAGAATTCTCAGTAACTTCTTTGTGCTGTGTGTATTCAACTCACAGAGTGGAACGTCCCTTTACACAGAGCAGATTTGAAACACTCTTTTTGTGGAGTTTGCAAGTGGAGATTTCAAGCGATTTGATGCCAACAGTAGAAAAGGAAATATCTTCAAATAAAAACTAGACAGAATCATTCTCAGAAACTACTTTGTGATGTGTGCCTTCAACTCACAGAGTTTAACCTTTCTTTTCTTAGAGCAGTTTAGAAACACTCTGCTTGTTATGTCTGCAAGTGGATATTTGGACCTCTTTGAGGCCTTCGTTGCAAACGGGGTTTCTTCCTTTCATGCTAGACTAAGAAGAGTTCTCAGTAACTTTTCTGTGTTGTGTGTATTCAACTCACAGAGTTGAACCTTGCTTTAGAGAGAGCAGATATGAAACACTCTTGCTGTGACATTTTCAGGTGGAGATTTCAAGCGATTTGAGGACAATTGCAGAAAAGGAAATATCTTCGTATAACAACCAGACAGAATCATTCTCAGAAAGTGCTTTGTGATGTGTGCGTTCCACTCACAGAGTTTAACCTTTCTTTTCATAGAGGAGTTTGGAAACACACTGTTTGTAAAGTCTGCAATTGGATATATGGACCTGTTTGAGGCCTTCGTTGGAAACGGGATTTCTTCATTGAATGCTAGACGGAAGAATTCTCAGTAAATTCTTTGTGTTGTGTGCATTCAACTCACAGAGTGGAACGTCCCTTTAGACAGAGCAGATTTGAAACACTCTTTTTGCGGAATTTGCAAGTGGAGATTTCTAGCCATTTGATGCCAACAGTAGAAAGGGAAATATCTTCAAATAAAAACCAGACAGAATCATTCTCAGAAAATTCTTTGTGATGTGTGCGTTCAACTCACATAGTTTAACCTTTCTTTTCATAGAGCAGTTTGGAAACACTCTGTTTGTAAAGTCTGCAAGTGGATATATGGACCGCATTGAGGCCTTCGTTGGAAACGGGATTTCTTCATTTCATGCTAGACAGAAGAATTCTCAGTAACTTCTTTGTGCTGTGTGTATTCAACTCACAGAGTGGAACGTCCCTTTGCACAGAGCAGATTTGAAACACTCTTTTTGTGGAGTTTGCAAGTGGAGATTTCAAGCGATTTGATGCCAACAGTAGAAAAGGAAATATCTTCAAATAAAAACTAGACAGAATCATTCTCAGAAACTACTTTGTGATGTGTGCCTTCAACTCACAGAGTTTAACCTTTCTTTTCTTAGAGCAGTTTAGAAACACTCTGCTTGTTATGTCTGCAAGTGGATATTTGGACCTCTTTGAGGCCTTCGTTGCAAACGGGGTTTCTTCCTTTCATGCTAGACTAAGAAGAGTTCTCAGTAACTTTTTTGTGTTGTGTGTATTCAACTCACAGAGTTGAACCTTGCTTTAGAGAGAGCAGATTTGAAACACTCTTGCTGTGGCATTTTCAGGTGGAGATTTCAAGCGTTTTGAGGACAATTGCAGAAAAGGAAATATCTTCGTATAATAACCAGACAGAATCATTCTCAGAAAGTGCTTTGTGATGTGTGCGTTCAACTCACAGAGTTTAACCTTTCTTTTCATAGAGGAGTTTGGAAACACACTGTTTGTAAAGTCTGCAATTGGATATATGGACCTGTTTGAGGCCTTCGTTGGAAACGGGATTTCTTCATTGCATGCTAGACGGAAGAATTCTCAGTAAATTCTTTGTGTTGTGTGCATTCAACTCACAGAGTGGAACGTCCCTTTAGACAGAGCAGATTTGAAACACTCTTTTTGCGGAATTTGCAAGTGGAGATTTCTAGCCATTTGATGCCAACAGTAGAAAGGGAAATATCTTCAAATAAAAACCAGACAGAATCATTCTCAGAAAATTCTTTGTGATGTGTGCGTTCAACTCACATAGTTTAACCTTTCTTTTCATAGAGCAGTTTGGAAACACTCTGTTTGTAAAGTCTGCAAGTGGATATATGGACCGCATTGAGGCCTTCGTTGGAAACGGGATTTCTTCATTTCATGCTAGACAGAAGAATTCTCAGTAACTTCTTTGTGCTGTGTGTATTCAACTCACAGAGTGGAACGTCCCTTTGCACAGAGCAGATTTGAAACACTCTTTTTGTGGAATTTGCAAGTGGAGATTTCAAGCGATTTGATGCCAACAGTAGAAAAGGAAATATCTTCAAATAAAAACTAGACAGAATCATTCTCAGAAACTACTTTTTGATGTGTGCCTTCAACTCACAGAGTTTAACCTTTCTTTTCTTAGAGCAGTTTAGAAACACTCTGCTTGTTATGTCTGCAAGTGGATATTTGGACCTCTTTGAGGCCTTCGTTGCAAACGGGGTTTCTTCCTTTAATGCTAGACTAAGAAGAGTTCTCAGTAACTTTTTTGTGTTGTGTGTATTCAACCTCACAGAGTTGAACCTTGCTTTAGAGAGAGCAGATTTGAAACACTCTTGCTGTGGCATTTTCAGGTGGAGATTTCAAGCGATTTGAGGACAATTGCAGAAAAGGAAATATCTTCGTATAATAAACAGACAGAATCATTCTCAGAAAGTGCTTTGTGATGTGTGCGTTCACCTCACAGAGTTTAACCTTTCTTTTCATAGAGGAGTTTGGAAACACACTGTTTGTAAAGTCTGCAAGTGGATATATGGACGTGTTTGAGGCATTCGTTGGAAACGGGATTTCTTCATTGAATGCTAGACAGAAGAATTCTCAGTAAATTCTTTGTGTTGTGTGCATTCAACTCACCGAGTGGAACGGTCCCATTAGACAGAGCAGATTTGAAACACTCTTTTTGCGAAATTTGGAAGTGGAGATTTCAAGCCATTTGATGCCAACAGTAGAAAGGGAAATATCTTCAAATAAAAACCAGACAGAATCATTCTCAGAAAATTCTTTGTGATGTGTGCGTTCAACTCACATAGTTTAACCTTTCTTTTCATAGAGCAGTTTGGAAACACTCTGTTTGTAAAGTCTGCAAGTAGATATATGGACCGCTTTGAGGCCTTTGTTGGAAACGGGGTTTCTTCATTTCATGCTAGACAGAAGAATTCTCAGTAACTTCTTTGTGTTGTGTGTATTCAACTCACAGAGTGGAACGTCCCTTTAGACAGAGCAGATTTGAAACACTCCTTTTGTGGAATTTGCAAGTGGAGATTTCAAGCGATTTGATGCCAGCAGTAGAAAAGGAAATATCTTCAAATAAAAACTAGACAGAATCATTCTCAGAAACTACTTTGTGATGTGTGCCTTCAACTCACAGAGTTTAACCTTTCTTTTCTTAGAGCAGTTTAGAAACACTCTGCTTGTTATGTCTGCAAGTGGATATTTGGACCTCTTTGAGGCCTTCGTTGCAAACGGGGTTTCTTCCTTTCATGCTAGACTAAGAAGAGTTCTCAGTAACTTTTTTGTGTTGTGTGTATTCAACTCACAGAGTTGAACCTTGCTTTAGAGAGAGCAGATTTGAAACACTCTTGCTGTGGCATTTTCAGGTGGAGATTTCAAGCGATTTGAGGACAATTGCAGAAAAGGAAATATCTTCGTATAATAACCAGACAGAATCATTCTCAGAAAGTGCTTTGTGATGTGTGCGTTCAACTCACAGAGTTTAACCTTTCTTTTCATAGAGGAGTTTGGAAACACACTGTTTGTAAAGTCTGCAAGTGGATATATGGACCTGTTTGAGGCCTTCGTTGGAAACGGGATTTCTTCATTGAATGCTAGACGGAAGAATTCTCAGTAAATTCTTTGTGTTGTGTGCATTCAACTGACAGAGTGGAACTGTCCCTTTAGACAGAGCAGATTTGAAACACTCTTTTTGCGGAATTTGCAAGTGGAGATTTCTAGCCATTTGATGCCAACAGTAGAAAGGGAAATATCTTCAAATAAAAACCAGACAGAATCATTCTCAGAAAATTCTTTGTGATGTGTGCGTTCAACTCACATAGTTTAACCTTTCTTTTCATAGAGCAGTTTGGAAACACTCTGTTTGTAAAGTCTGCAAGTGGATATATGGACCGCATTGAGGCCTTCGTTGGAAACGGGATTTCTTCATTTCATGCTAGACAGAAGAATTCTCAGTAACTTCTTTGTGCTGTGCGTATTCAACTCACAGAGTGGAACGTCCCTTTGCACAGAGCAGATTTGAAACACTCTTTTTGTGGAATTTGCAAGTGGAGATTTCAAGCGATTTGATGCCAACAGTAGAAAAGGAAATATCTTCAAATAAAAACTAGACAGAATCATTCTCAGAAACTACTTTGTGATGTGTGCCTTCAACTCACAGAGTTTAACCTTTCTTTTCTTAGAGCAGTTTAGAAACACTCTGCTTGTTATGTCTGCAAGTGGATATTTGGACCTCTTTGAGGCCTTCGTTGCAAACGGGGTTTCTTCCTTTCATGCTAGACTAAGAAGAGTTCTCAGTAACTTTTTTGTGTTGTGTGTATTCAACTCACAGAGCTGAACCTTGCTTTAGAGAGAGCAGATTTGAAACACTCTTGCTGTGGCATTTTCAGGTGGAGATTTCAAGCGATTTGAGGACAATTGCAGAAAAGGAAATATCTTCGTATAACAACCAGACAGAATCATTCTCAGAAAGTGCTTTGTGATGTGTGCGTTCAACTCACAGAGTTTAACCTTTCTTTTCATAGAGGAGTTTGGAAACACACTGTTTGTAAAGTCTGCAATTGGATATATGGACCTGTTTGAGGCCTTCGTCGGAAACGGGATTTCTTCATTGAATGCTAGACGGAAGAATTCTCAGTAAATTCTTTGTGTTGTGTGCATTCAACTGACAGAGTGGAACGTCTCTTTAGACAGATCAGATTTGAAACACTCTTTTTGCGGAATTTGCAAGTGGAGATTTCTAGCCATTTGATGCCAACAGTAGAAAGGGAGATATCTTCAAATAAAAACCAGACAGAATCATTCTCAGAAAATTCTTTGTGATGTGTGCGTTCAACTCACATAGTTTAACCTTTCTTTTCATAGAGCAGTTTGGAAACACTCTGTTTGTAAAGTCTGCAAGTGGATATATGGACCGCATTGAGGCCTTCGTTGGAAACGGGATTTCTTCATTTCATGCTAGACAGAAGAATTCTCAGTAACTTCTTTGTGCTGTGTGTATTCAACTCACAGAGTGGAACGTCCCTTTGCACAGAGCAGATTTGAAACACTCTTTTTGTGGAATTTGCAAGTGGAGATTTCAAGCGATTTGATGCCAACAGTAGAAAAGGAAATATCTTCAAATAAAAACTAGACAGAATCATTCTCAGAAACTACTTTGTGATGTGTGCCTTCAACTCACAGAGTTTAACCTTTCTTTTCTTAGAGCAGTTTAGAAACACTCTGCTTGTTATGTCTGCAAGTGGATATTTGGACCTCTTTGAGGCCTTCGTTGCAAACGGGGTTTCTTCCTTTAATGCTAGACTAAGAAGAGTTCTCAGTAACTTTTTTGTGTTGTGTGTATTCAACTCACAGAGTTGAACCTTGCTTTAGAGAGAGCAGATTTGAAACACTCTTGCTGTGGCATTTTCAGGTGGAGATTTCAAGCGATTTGAGGACAATTGCAGAAAAGGAAATATCTTCCTATAACAACCAGACAGAATCATTCTCAGAGAGTGCTTTGTGATGTGTGCGTTCAACTCACAGAGTTTAACCTTTCTTTTCATAGAGGAGTTTGGAAACACACTGTTTGTAAAGTCTGCAATTGGATATACGGACCTGTTTGAGGCCTTCGTTGGAAACGGGATTTCTTCATTGACTGCTAGACGGAAGAATTCTCAGTAAATTCTTTGTGTTGTGTGCATTCAACTCACAGAGTGGAACGTCCCTTTAGACAGAGCAGATTTGAAACACTCTTTTTGCGGAATTTGAAAGTGGAGATTTCTAGCCATTTGATGCCAACAGTAGAAAGGGAAATATCTTCAAATAAAAACCAGACAGAATCATTCTCAGAAAATTCTTTGTGATGTGTGCGTTCAACTCACATAGTTTAACCTTTCTTTTCATAGAGCAGTTTGGAAACACTCTGTTTGTAAAGTCTGCAAGTGGATATATGGACCGCATTGAGGCCTTCGTTGGAAACGGGATTTCTTCATTTCATGCTAGACAGAAGAATTCTCAGTAACTTCTTTGTGCTGTGTGTATTCAACTCACAGAGTGGAACGTCCCTTTGCACAGAGCAGATTTGAAACACTCTTTTTGTGGAGTTTGCAAGTGGAGATTTCAAGCGATTTGATGCCAACAGTAGAAAAGGAAATATCTTCAAATAAAAACTAGACAGAATCATTCTCAGAAACTACTTTGTGATGTGTGCCTTCAACTCACAGAGTTTAACCTTTCTTTTCTTAGAGCAGTTTAGAAACACTCTGCTTGTTATGTCTGCAAGTGGATATTTGGACCTCTTTGAGGCCTTCGTTGCAAACGGGGTTTCTTCCTTTCATGCTAGACTAAGAAGAGTTCTCAGTAACTTTTTTGTGTTGTGTGTATTCAACTCACAGAGTTGAACCTTGCTTTAGAGAGAGCAGATTTGAAACACTCTTGCTGTGGCATTTTCAGGTGGAGATTTCAAGCGATTTGAGGACAATTGCAGAAAAGGAAATATCTTCGTATAACAACCAGACAGAATCATTCTCAGAAAGTGCTTTGTGATGTGTGCGTTGAACTCACAGAGTTTAACCTTTCTTTTCATAGAGGAGTTTGGAAACACACTGTTTGTAAAGTCTGCAATTGGATATATGGACCTGTTTGAGGCCTTCGTTGGAAACGGGATTTCTTCATTGATTGCTAGACGGAAGAATTCTCAGTAAATTCTTTGTGTTGTGTGCATTCAACTCACAGAGTGGAACGTCCCTTTAGACAGAGCAGATTTGAAACACTCTTTTTGCGGAATTTGCAAGTGGAGATTTCTAGCCATTTGATGCCAACAGTAGAAAGGGAAATATCTTCAAATAAAAACCAGACAGAATCATTCTCAGAAAATTCTTTGTGATGTGTGCGTTCAACTCACATAGTTTAACCTTTCTTTTCATAGAGCAGTTTGGAAACACTCTGTTTGTAAAGTCTGCAAGTGGATATATGGACCGCATTGAGGCCTTCGTTGGAAACGGGATTTCTTCATTTCATGCTAGACAGAAGAATTCTCAGTAACTTCTTTGTGCTGTGTGTATTCAACTCACAGAGTTGAACCTTGCTTTAGAGAGAGCAGATTTGAAACACTCTTGCTGTGGCATTTTCAGGTGGAGATTTCAAGCGATTTGAGGACAATTGCAGAAAAGGAAATATCTTCGTATAATAACCAGACAGAATCATTCTCAGAAAGTGCTTTGTGATGTGTGCGTTCCACTCACAGAGTTTAACCTTTCTTTTCATAGAGGAGTTTGGAAACACACTGTTTGTAAAGTCTGCAAGTGGATATATGGACCTGTTTGAGGCCTTCGTTGGAAACGGGATTTCTTCATTGAATGCTAGACGGAGAATTCTCAGTAAATTCTTTGTGTTGTGTGCATTCAACTCACAGAGTGGAACGTCCCTTTAGACAGATCAGATTTGAAACACTCTTTTTGCGGAATTTGCAAGTGGAGATTTCTAGCCATTTGATGCCAACAGTGGAAAGGGAAATATCTTCAAATAAAAACCAGACAGAATCATTCTCAGAAAATTCTTTGTGATGTGTGCGTTCAACTCACATAGTTTAACCTTTCTTTTCATAGAGCAGTTTGGAAACACTCTGTTTGTAAAGTCTGCAAGTGGATATATGGACCGCATTGAGGCCTTCGTTGGAAACGGGATTTCTTCATTTCATGCTAGACAGAAGAATTCTCAGTAACTTCTTTGTGCTGTGTGTATTCAACTCACAGAGTGGAACGTCCCTTTGCACAGAGCAGATTTGAAACACTCTTTTTGTGGAATTTGCAAGTGGAGATTTCAAGCGATTTGATGCCAACAGTAGAAAAGGAAATATCTTCAAATAAAAACTAGACAGAATCATTCTCAGAAACTACTTTGTGATGTGTGCCTTCAACTCACAGAGTTTAACCTTTCTTTTCTTAGAGCAGTTTAGAAACACTCTGCTTGTTATGTCTGCAAGTGGATATTTGGACCTCTTTGAGGCCTTCGTTGCAAACGGGGTTTCTTCCTTTCATGCTAGACTAAGAAGAGTTCTCAGTAACTTTTTTGTGTTGTGTGTATTCAACTCACAGAGTTGAACCTTGCTTTAGAGAGAGCAGATTTGAAACACTCTTGCTGTGGCATTTTCAGGTGGAGATTTCAAGCGATTTGAGGACAATTGCAGAAAAGGAAATATCTTCGTATAATAACCAGACAGAATCATTCTCAGAAAGTGCTTTGTGATGTGTGCGTTCAACTCACAGAGTTTAACCTTTCCTTTCATAGAGGAGTTTGGAAACACACTGTTTGTAAAGTCTGCAATTGGATATATGGACCTGTCTGAGGCCTTCGTTGGAAACGGGATTTTATCATATAATGCTAGACGGAAGAATTCTCAGTAAATTCTTTGTGTTGTGTGCATTCAACTCACAGAGTGGAACGTCCCTTTAGACAGAGCAGATTTGAAACACTCTTTTTGCGGAATTTGCAAGTGGAGATTTCTAGCCATTTGATGCCAACAGTAGAAAGGGAAATATCTTCAAATAAAAACCAGACAGAATCATTCTCAGAAAATTCTTTGTGATGTGTGCGTTCAACTCACATAGTTTAACCTTTCTTTTCATAGAGCAGTTTGGAAACACTCTGTTTGTAAAGTCTGCAAGTGGATATATGGACCGCATTGAGGCCTTCGTTGGAAACGGGATTTCTTCATTTCATGCTAGACAGAAGAATTCTCAGTAACTTCTTTGTGCTGTGTGTATTCAACTCACAGAGTGGAACGTCCCTTTGCACAGAGCAGATTTGAAACACTCTTTTTGTGGAGTTTGCAAGTGGAGATTTCAAGCGATTTGATGCCAACAGTAGAAAAGGAAATATCTTCAAATAAAAACTAGACAGAATCATTCTCAGAAACTACTTTGTGATGTGTGCCTTCAACTCACAGTGTTTAACCTTTCTTTTCTTAGAGCAGTTTAGAAACACTCTGCTTGTTATGTCTGCAAGTGGATATTTGGACCTCTTTGAGGCCTTCGTTGCAAACGGCGTTTCTTCCTTTCATGCTAGACTAAGAAGAGTTCTCAGTAACTTTTTTGTGTTGTGTGTGTTCAACTCACAGAGTTGAACCTTGCTTTAGAGAGAGCAGATTTGAAACACTCTTGCTGTGGCATTTTCAGGTGGAGATTTCAAGCGATTTGAGGACAATTGCAGAAAAGGAAATATCTTCGTATAATAACCAGACAGAATCATTCTCAGAAAGTGCTTTGTGATGTGTGCGTTCCACTCACAGAGTTTAACCTTTCTTTTCATAGAGGAGTTTGGAAACACACTGTTTGTAAAGTCTGCAAGTGGATATATGGACCTGTTTGAGGCCTTCGTTGGAAACGGGATTTCTTCATTGAATGCTAGACGGAAGAATTCTCAGTAAATTCTTTGTGTTGTGTGCATTCAACTCACAGAGTGGAACGTCCCTTTAGACAGAGCAGATTTGAAACACTCTTTTTGCGGAATTTGCAAGTGGAGATTTCTAGCCGTTTGATGCCAACAGTAGAAAGGGAAATATCTTCAAATAAAAACCAGACAGAATCATTCTCAGAAAATTCTTTGTGATGTGTGCGTTCAACTCACATAGTTTAACCTTTCTTTTCATAGAGCAGTTTGGAAACACTCTGTTTGTAAAGTCTGCAAGTGGATATATGGACCGCATTGAGGCCTTCGTTGGAAACGGGATTTCTTCATTTCATGCTAGACAGAAGAATTCTCAGTAACTTCTTTGTGCTGTGTGTATTCAACTCACAGAGTGGAACGTCCCTTTGCACAGAGCAGATTTGAAACACTCTTTTTGTGGAATTTGCAAGTGGAGATTTCAAGCGATTTGATGCCAACAGTAGAAAAGGAAATATCTTCAAATAAAAACTAGACAGAATCATTCTCAGAAACTACTTTGTGATGTGTGCCTTCAACTCACAGAGTTTAACCTTTCTTTTCTTAGAGCAGTTTAGAAACACTCTGCTTGTTATGTCTGCAAGTGGATATTTGGACCTCTTTGAGGCCTTCGTTGCAAACGGGGTTTCTTCTTTTCATGCTAGACTAAGAAGAGTTCTCAGTAACTTTTTTGTGTTGTGTGTATTCAACTCACAGAGTTGAACCTTGCTTTAGAGAGAGCAGATTTGAAACACTCTTGCTGTGGCATTTTCAGGTGGAGATTTCAAGCGATTTGAGGACAATTGCAGAAAAGGAAATATCTTCGTATAACAACCAGACAGAATCATTCTCAGAAAGTGCTTTGTGATGTGTGCGTTCAACTCACAGAGTTTAACCTTTCTTTTCATAGAGGAGTTTGGAAACACACTGTTTGTAAAGTCTGCAATTGGATATATGGACCTGTTTGAGGCCTTCGTTGGAAACGGGATTTCTTCATTGAATGCTAGGCGGAAGAATTCTCAGTAAATTCTTTGTGTTGTGTGCATTCAACTCACAGAGTGGAACGTCCCTTTAGACAGAGCAGATTTGAAACACTCTTTTTGCGGAATTTGCAAGTGGAGATTTCTAGCCATTTGATGCCAACAGTAGAAAGGGAAATATCTTCAAATAAAAACCAGACAGAAATCATTCTCAGAAAATTCTTTGTGATGTGTGCGTTCAACTCACAAGGTTTAACCTTTCTTTTCATAGAGCAGTTTGGGAACACTCTGTTGGTAATGTCTGCAAGTGGATATATGGACCGCTTTGAAGCCTTCGTTGGAAACGGGATTTCTTCATTTCATGCTAGACAGAAGAATTCTCAGTAACTTCTTTGTGTTGTGTGTATTCAACTCACAGATTGGAACGTCCCTTTACACAGAGCAGATTTGAAACACTCTTTTTGTGGAATTTGCAAGTGGAGATTTCAAGCGATTTGATGCCAACAGTAGAAAAGGAAATATCTGCAAACAAAAACCAGACAGAATCATTATCAGAAAGTGCTTTGTGATGTGTGCATTCAACTCACAGAGTTAACCTTTCTTTTCATAAAGGAGTTTGGAAACACACTGTTTGTAAAGTCTGCAATTGGATATATGGACCTGTTTGAGGCCTTCGTTGGAAACGGGATTTCTTCATTGAATGCTAGACGGAAGAATTCTCAGTAAATTCTTTGTGTTGTGTGCATTCAACTCACAGAGTGGAACGTCCCTTTAGACAGAGCAGATTTGAAACACTCTTTTTGCGGAATTTGCAAGTGGAGATTTCTAGCCATTTGATGCCAACAGTAGAAAGGGAAATATCTTCAAATAAAAACCAGACAGAATCATTCTCAGAAAATTCTTTGTGATGTGTGCGTTCAACTCACATAGTTTAACCTTTCTTTTCATAGAGCAGTTTGGGAACACTCTGTTGGTAATGTCTGCAAGTGGATATATGGACCGCTTTGAGGCCTTCGTTGGAAACGGGATTTCTTCATTTCATGCTAGACAGAAGAATTCTCAGTAACTTCTTTGTGCTGTGTGTATTCAACTCACAGAGTGGAACGTCCCTTTACACAGAGCAGATTTGAAACACTCTTTTTGTGGAGTTTGCAAGTGGAGATTTCAAGCGATTTGATGCCAACAGTAGAAAAGGAAATATCTTCAAATAAAAACTAGACAGAATCATTCTCAGAAACTGCTTTGTTATGTGTGCCTTCAACTCACAGAGTTTAACCTTTCTTTTCTTAGAGCAGTTTAGAAACACTCTGCTTGTTATGTCTGCAAGTGGATATTTGGACCTTCTTTGAGGCCTTCGTTGCAAACGGGGTTTCTTCCTTTCATGCTAGACTAAGAAGAGTTCTCAGTAACTTTTCTGTGTTGTGTGTATTCAACTCACACAGTTGAACCTTGCTTTAGAGAGAGCAGATTTGAAACACTCTTGCTGTGGCATTTTCAGGTGGAGATTTCAAGCGTTTTGAGGACAATTGCAGAAAAGGAAATATCTTCGTATAATAACCAGACAGAATCATTCTCAGAAAGTGCTTTGTGATGTGTGCGTTCCACTCACAGAGTTTAACCTTTCTTTTCATAGAGGAGTTTGGAAACACACTGTTTGTAAACTCTGCAAGTGGATATATGGACCTCTTTGAGGCCTTCGTTGGAAACGGGATTTCTTCATTGAATGCTAGACGGAAGAATTCTCAGTAAATTCTTTGTGTTGTGTGCATTCAACTCACAGAGTGGAACGTCCCTTTAGACAGAGCAGATTTGAAACACTCTTTTTGCGGAATTTGCAAGTGGAGATTTCTAGCCATTTGATGCCAACAGTAGAAAGGGAAATATCTTCAAATAAAAACCAGACAGAATCATTCTCAGAAAATTCTTTGTGATGTGTGCGTTCAACTCACATAGTTTAACCTTTCTTTTCATAGAGCAGTTTGGAAACACTCTGTTTGTAAAGTCTGCAAGTGGATATATGGACCGCATTGAGGCCTTCGTTGGAAACGGGATTTCTTCATTTCATGCTAGACAGAAGAATTCTCAGTAACTTCTTTGTGCTGTGTGTATTCAACTCACAGAGTGGAACGTCCCTTTGCACAGAGCAGATTTGAAACACTCTTTTTGTGGAGTTTGCAAGTGGAGATTTCAAGCGATTTGATGCCAACAGTAGAAAAGGAAATATCTTCAAATAAAAACTAGACAGAATCATTCTCAGAAACTACTTTGTGATGTGTGCCTTCAACTCACAGAGTTTAACCTTTCTTTTCTTAGAGCAGTTTAGAAACACTCTGCTTGTTATGTCTGCAAGTGGATATTTGGACCTCTTTGAGGCCTTCGTTGCAAACGGGGTTTCTTCCTTTCATGCTAGACTAAGAAGAGTTCTCAGTAACTTTTTTGTGTTGTGTGTATTCAACTCACAGAGTTGAACCTTGCTTTAGAGAGAGCAGATTTGAAACACTCTTGCTGTGGCATTTTCAGGTGGAGATTTCAAGCGATTTGAGGACAATTGCAGAAAAGGAAATATCTTCGTATAATAACCAGACAGAATCATTCTCAGAAAGTGCTTTGTGATGTGTGCGTTCAACTCACAGAGTTTAACCTTTCTTTTCATAGAGGAGTTTGGAAACACACTGTTTGTAAAGTCTGCAATTGGATATATGGACCTGTTTGAGGCCTTCTTTGGAAACGGGATTTCTTCATTGAATGCTAGACGGAAGAATTCTCAGTAAATTCTTTGTGTTGTGTGCATTCAACTCACAGAGTGGAACGTCCCTTTAGACAGAGCAGATTTGAAACACTCTTTTTGCGGAATTTGCAAGTGGAGATTTCTAGCCATTTGATGCCAACAGTAGAAAGGGAAATATCTTCAAATAAAAACCAGACAGAATCATTCTCAGAAAATTCTTTGTGATGTGTGCGTTCAACTCACATAGTTTAACCTTTCTTTTCATAGAGCAGTTTGGAAACACTCTGTTTGTAAAGTCTGCAAGTGGATATATGGACCGCATTGAGGCCTTCGTTGGAAACGGGATTTCTTCATTTCATGCTAGACAGAAGAATTCTCAGTAACTTCTCTGTGCTGTGTGTATTCAACTCACAGACTGGAACGTCCGTTTGCACAGAGCAGATTTGAAACACTCTCTTTGTGGAATTTGCAAGTGGAGATTTCAAGCGATTTGATGCCAACAGTAGAAAAGGAAATATCTTCAAATAAAAACTAGACAGAACCATTCTCAGAAACTACTTTGTGATGTGTGCCTTCAACTCACAGAGTTTAACCTTTCTTTTCTTAGAGCAGTTTAGAAACACTCTGCTTGTTATGTCTGCAAGTGGATATTTGGACCTCTTTGAGGCCTTCGTTGCAAACGGGGTTTCTTCCTTTCATGCTAGACTAAGAAGAGTTCTCAGTAACTTTTTTGTGTTGTGTGTATTCAACTCACAGAGTTGAACCTTGCTTTAGAGAGAGCAGATTTGAAACACTCTTGCTGTGGCATTTTCAGGTGGAGATTTCAAGCGTTTTGAGGACAATTGCAGAAAAGGAAATATCTTCGTATAATAACCAGACAGAATCATTCTCAGAAAGTGCTTTGTGATGTGTGCGTTCCACTCACAGAGTTTAACCTTTCTTTTCATAGAGGAGTTTGGAAACACACTGTTTGTAAAGTCTGCAAGTGGATATATGGACCTGTTTGAGGCCTTCGTTGGAAACGGGATTTCTTCATTGAATGCTAGACGGAAGAATTCTCAGTAAATTCTTTGTGTTGTGTGCATTCAACTCACAGAGTGGAACGTCCCTTTAGACAGAGCAGATTTGAAACACTCTTTTTGCGGAATTTGCAAGTGGAGATTTCTAGCCATTTGATGCCAACAGTAGAAAGGGAAATATCTTCAAATAAAAACCAGACAGAATCATTCTCAGAAAATTCTTTGTGATGTGTGCGTTCAACTCACATAGTTTAACCTTTCTTTTCATAGAGCAGTTTGGAAACACTCTGTTTGTAAAGTCTGCAAGTGGATATATGGACCGCATTGAGGCCTTCGTTGGAAACGGGATTTCTTCATTTCATGCTAGACAGAAGAATTCTCAGTAACTTCTTTGTGCTGTGTGTATTCAACTCACAGAGTGGAACGTCCCTTTGCACAGAGCAGATTTGAAACACTCTTTTTGTGGAGTTTGCAAGTGGAGATTTCAAGCGATTTGATGCCAACAGTAGAAAAGGAAATATCTTCAAATAAAAACTAGACAGAATCATTCTCAGAAACTACTTTGTGATGTGTGCCTTCAACTCACAGAGTTTAACCTTTCTTTTCTTAGAGCACTTTAGAAACACTCTGCTTGTTATGTCTGCAAGTGGATATTTGGACCTCTTTGAGGCCTTCGTTGCAAACGGTGTTTCTTCCTTTCATGCTAGACTAAGAAGAGTTCTCAGTAACTTTTTTGTGTTGTGTGTATTCAACTCACAGAGTTGAACCTTGCTTTAGAGAGAGCAGATTTGAAACACTCTTGCTGTGGCATTTTCAGGTGGAGATTTCAAGCGATTTGAGGACAATTGCAGAAAAGGAAATATCTTCGTATAACAACCAGACAGAATCATTCTCAGAAAGTGCTTTGTGATGTGTGCGTTCAACTCACAGAGTTTAACCTTTCTTTTCATAGAGGAGTTTGGAAACACACTGTTTGTAAAGTCTGCAATTGGATATATGGACCTGTTTGAGGCCTTCGTTGGAAACGGGATTTCTTCATTGCATGCTAGACGGAAGAATTCTCAGTAAATTCTTTGTGTTGTGTGCATTCAACTCACAGAGTGGAACGTCCCTTTAGACAGAGCAGATTTGAAACACTCTTTTTGCGGAATTTGCAAGTGGAGATTTCTAGCCATTTGATGCCAACAGTAGAAAGGGAAATATCTTCAAATAAAAACCAGACAGAATCATTCTCAGAAAATTCTTTGTGATGTGTGCGTTCAACTCACATAGTTTAACCTTTCTTTTCATAGAGCAGTTTGGAAACACTCTGTTTGTAAAGTCTGCAAGTGGATATATGGACCGCATTGAGGCCTTCGTTGGAAACGGGATTTCTTCATTTCATGCTAGACAGAAGAATTCTCAGTAACTTCTTTGTGCTGTGTGTATTCAACTCACAGAGTGGAACGTCCCTTTACACAGAGCAGATTTGAAACACTCTTTTTGTGGAGTTTGCAAGTGGAGATTTCAAGCGATTTGATGCCAACAGTAGAAAAGGAAATATCTTCAAATAAAAACTAGACAGAATCATTCTCAGAAACTACTTTGTGATGTGTGCCTTCAACTCACAGAGTTTAACCTTTCTTTTCTTAGAGCAGTTTAGAAACACTCTGCTTGTTATGTCTGCAAGTGGATATTTGGACCTCTTTGAGGCCTTCGTTGCAAACAGGGTTTCTTCCTTTAATGCTAGACTAAGAAGAGTTCTCAGTAACTTTTTTGTGTTGTGTGTATTCAACTCACAGAGTTGAACCTTGCTTTAGAGAGAGCAGATTTGAAACACTCTTGCTGTGGCATTTTCAGTTGGAGATTTCAAGCGATTTGAGGACAATTGCAGAAAAGGAAATATCTTCGTATAATAACCAGACAGAATCATTCTCAGAAAGTGCTTTGTGATGTGTGCGTTCAACTCACAGAGTTTAACCTTTCTTTTCATAGAGGAGTTTGGAAACACACTGTTTGTAAAGTCTGCAATTGGATATATGGACCTGTTTGAGGCCTTCGTTGGAAACGGGATTTCTTCATTGAATGCTAGACGGAAGAATTCTCAGTAAATTCTTTGTGTTGTGTGCATTCAACTGACAGAGTGGAACGTCCCTTTAGACAGAGCAGATTTGAAACACTCTTTTTGCGGAATTTGCAAGTGGAGATTTCTAGCCATTTCATGCCAACAGTAGAAAGGGAAATATCTTCAAATAAAAACCAGACAGAATCATTCTCAGAAAATTCTTTGTGATGTGTGCGTTCAACTCACATAGTTTAACCTTTCTTTTCATAGAGCAGTTTGGAAACACTCTGTAAAGTCTGCAAGTGGATATATGGACCGCATTGAGGCCTTCGTTGGAAACGGGATTTCTTCATTTCATGCTAGACAGAAGCATTCTCAGTAACTTCTTTGTGCTGTGTGTATTCAACTCACAGAGTGGAACGTCCCTTTGCACAGAGCGGATTTGAAACACTCTTTTTGTGGAGTTTGCAAGTGGAGATTTCAAGCGATTTGATGCCAACAGTAGAAAAGGAAATATCTTCAAATAAAAACTAGACAGAATCATTCTCAAAAACTACTTTGTGATGTGTGCCTTCAACTCACAGAGTTTAACCTTTCTTTTCTTAGAGCAGTTTAGAAACACTCTGCTTGTTATGTCTGCAAGTGGATATTTGGACCTCTTTGAGGCCTTCGTTGCAAACGGGGTTTCTTCCTTTCATGCTAGACTAAGAAGAGTTCTCAGTAACTTTTTTGTGTTGTGTGTATTCAACTCACAGAGTTGAACCTTGCTTTAGAGAGAGCAGATTTGAAACACTCTTGCTGTGGCATTTTCAGGTGGAGATTTCAAGCGATTTGAGGACAATTGCAGAAAAGGAAATATCTTCGTATAATAACCAGACAGAATCATTCTCAGAAAGTGCTTTGTGATGTGTGCGTTCAACTCACAGAGTTTAACCTTTCTTTTCATAGAGGAGTTTGGAAACACACTGTTTGTAAAGTCTGCAAGTGGATATATGGACCTGTTTGAGGCCTTCGTTGGAAACGGGATTTCTTCATTGAATGCTAGACGGGAAGAATTCTCAGTAAATTCTTTGTGTTGTGTGCATTGAACTCACAGAGTGGAACGTCCCTTTAGACAGAGCAGATTTGAAACACTCTTTTTGCGGAATTTGCAAGTGGAGATTTCTACCCATTTGATGTCAACAGTAGAAAGGGAAATATCTTCAAATAAAAACCAGACAGAATCATTCTCAGAAAATTCTTTGTAATGTGTGCGTTCAACTCACATAGTTTAACCTTTCTTTTCATAGAGCAGTTTTGAAACACTCTGTTTGTAAAGTCTGAAAGTGGATATATGGACCGCATTGAGGCCTTCGTTGGAAACGGGATTTCTTCATTTCATGCTAGACAGAAGAATTCTCAGTAACTTCTTTGTGCTGTGTGTATTCAACTCACAGAGTGGAACGTCCCTTTACACAGAGCAGATTTGAAACACTCTTTTTGTGGAGTTTGCAAGTGGAGATTTCAAGCGATTTGATGCCAACAGTAGAAAAGGAAATATCTTCAAATAAAAACTAGACAGAATCATTCTCAGAAACTACTTTGTGATGTGTGCCTTCAACTCACAGAGTTTAACCTTTCTTTTCTTAGAGCAGTTTAGAAACACTCTGCTTGTTATGTCTGCAAGTGGATATTTGGACCTCTTTGAGGCCTTCGTTGCAAACGGGGTTTCTTCCTTTCATGCTAGACTAAGAAGAGTTCTCAGTAACTTTTCTGTGTTGTGTGTATTCAACTCACAGAGTTGAACCTTGCTTTAGAGAGAGCAGATTTGAAACACTCTTGCTGTGGCATTTTCAGGTGGAGATTTCAATCGTTTTGAGGACAATTGCAGAAAAGGAAATATCTTCGTATAATAACCAGACAGAATCATTCTCAGAAAGTGCTTTGTGATGTGTGCGTTCCACTCACAGAGTTTAACCTTTCTTTTCATAGAGGAGTTTGGAAACACACTGTTTGTAAACTCTGCAAGTGGATATATGGACCTGTTTGAGGCCTTCGTTGGAAACGGGATTTCTTCATTGAATGCTAGACGGAAGAATTCTCAGTAAATTCTTTGTGTTGTGTGCATTCAACTCACAGAGTGGAACGTCCCTTTAGACAGAGCAGATTTGAAACACTCTTTTTGCGGAATTTGCAAGTGGAGATTTCTAGCCATTTGATGCCAACAGTAGAAAGGGAAATATCTTCAAATAAAAACCAGACAGAATCATTCTCAGAAAATTCTTTGTGATGTGTGCGTTCAACTCACATAGTTTAACCTTTCTTTTCATAGAGCAGTTTGGAAACACTCTGTTTGTAAAGTCTGCAAGTGGATATATGGACCGCATTGAGGCCTTCGTTGGAAACGGGATTTCTTCATTTCATGCTAGACAGAAGAATTCTCAGTAACTTCTTTGTGCTGTGTGTATTCAACTCACAGAGTGGAACGTCCCTTTGCACAGAGCAGATTTGAAACACTCTTTTTGTGGAATTTGCAAGTGGAGATTTCAAGCGATTTGATGCCAACAGTAGAAAAGGAAATATCTTCAAATAAAAACTAGACAGAATCATTCTCAGAAACTACTTTGTGATGTGTGCCTTCAACTCACAGAGTTTAACCTTTCTTTTCTTAGAGCAGTTTAGAAACACTCTGCTTGTTATGTCTGCAAGTGGATATTTGGACCTCTTTGAGGCCTTCGTTGCAAACGGGGTTTCTTCCTTTCATGCTAGACTAAGAAGAGTTCTCAGTAACTTTTTTGTGTTGTGTGTATTCAACTCACAGAGTTGAACCTTGCTTTAGAGAGAGCAGATTTGAAACACTCTTGCTGTGGCATTTTCAGGTGGAGATTTCAAGCGATTTGAGGACAATTGCAGAAAAGGAAATATCTTCGTATAACAACCAGACAGAATCATTCTCAGAAAGTGCTTTGTGATGTGTGCGTTCAACTCACAGAGTTTAACCTTTCTTTTCATAGAGGAGTTTGGAAACACACTGTTTGTAAAGTCTGCAATTGGATATATGGACCTGTTTGAGGCCTTCGTTGGAAACGGGATTTCTTCATTGACTGCTAGACGGAAGAATTCTCAGTAAATTCTTTGTGTTGTGTGCATTCAACTCACAGAGTGGAACGTCCCTTTAGACAGAGCAGATTTGAAACACTCTTTTTGCGGAATTTGCAAGTGGAGATTTCTAGCCATTTGATGCCAACAGTAGAAAGGGAAATATCTTCAAATAAAAACCAGACAGAATCATTCTCAGAAAATTCTTTGTGATGTGTGCGTTCAACTCACATAGTTTAACCTTTCTTTTCATAGAGCAGTTTGGAAACACTCTGTTTGTAAAGTTTGCAAGTGGATATATGGACCGCATTGAGGCCTTCGTTGGAAACGGGATTTCTGCATTTCATGCTAGACAGAAGAATTCTCAGTAACTTCTTTGTGCTGTGTGTATTCAACTCACAGAGTGGAACGTCCCTTTGCACAGAGCAGATTTGAAACACTCTTTTTGTGGAGTTTGCAAGTGGAGATTTCAAGCGATTTGATGCCAACAGTAGAAAAGGAAATATCTTCAAATAAAAACTAGACAGAAATCATTCTCAGAAACTACTTTGTGATGTGTGCCTTCAACTCACAGAGTTTAACCTTTCTTTTCTTAGAGCAGTTTAGAAACACTCTGCTTCTTATGTCTGCAAGTGGATATTTGGACCTCTTTGAGGCCTTCGTTGCAAACGGGATTTCTTCCTTTCATGCTAGACTAAGAAGAGTTCTCAGTAACTTTTTTGTGTTGTGTGTATTCAACTCACAGAGTTGAACCTTGCTTTAGAGAGAGCAGATTTGAAACACTCTTGCTGTGGCATTTTCAGGTGGAGATTTCAAGCGATTTGAGGACAATTGCAGAAAAGGAAATATCTTCGTATAACAACCAGACAGAATCATTCTCAGAAAGTGCTTTGTGATGTGTTCGTTCAACTCACAGAGTTTAACCTTTCTTTTCATAGAGGAGTTTGGAAACACACTGTTTGTAAAGTCTGCAATTGGATATATGCACCTGTTTGAGGCCTTCGTTGGAAACGGGATTTCTTCATTGAATGCTAGACGGAAGAATTCTCAGTAAATTCTTTGTGTTGTGTGCATTCAACTCACAGAGTGGAACGTCCCTTTAGACAGAGCAGATTTGAAACACTCTTTTTGCGGAATTTGCAAGTGGAGATTTCTAGCCATTTGATGCCAACAGTAGAAAGGGAAACATCTTCAAATAAAAACCAGACAGAATCATTCTCAGAAAATTCTTTGTGATGTGTGCGTTCAACTCACATAGTTTAACCTTTCTTTTCATAGAGCAGTTTGGAAACACTCTGTTTGTAAAGTCTGCAAGTGGATATATGGACCGCATTGAGGCCTTCGTTGGAAACGGGATTTCTTCATTTCATGCTAGACAGAAGAATTCTCAGTAACTTCTTTGTGCTGTGTGTATTCAACTCACAGAGTGGAACGTCGCTTTGCACAGAGCAGATTTGAAACACTCTTTTTGTGGAATTTGCAAGTGGAGATTTTAAGCGATTTGATGCCAACAGTAGAAAAGGAAATATCTTCAAATAAAAACTAGACAGAATCATTCTCAGAAACTACTTTGTGATGTGTGCCTTCAACTCACAGAGTTTAACCTTTCTTTTCTTAGAGCAGTTTAGAAACACTCTGTTTGTTATGTCTGCAAGTGGATATTTGGACCTCTTTGAGGCCTTCGTTGCAAACGGGGTTTCTTCCTTTCATGCTAGACTAAGAAGAGTTCTCAGTAACATTTTTGTGTTGTGTGTATTCAAGTCACAGAGTTGAACCTTGCTTTAGAGAGAGCAGATTTGAAACACTCTTGCTGTGGCATTTTCAGGTGGAGATTTCAAGCGATTTGAGGACAATTGCAGAAAAGGAAATATCTTCGTATAACAACCAGACAGAATCATTCTCAGAAAGTGCTTTGTGATGTGTGCGTTCAACTCACAGAGTTTAACCTTTCTTTTCATAGAGGAGTTTGGAAACACACTGTTTGTAAAGTCTGCAATTGGATATATGGACCTGTTTGAGGCCTTCGTTGGAAACGGGATTTCTTCATTGAATGCTAGACGGAAGAATTCTCAGTAAATTCTTTGTGTTGTGTGCATTCAACTCACAGAGTGGAACGTCCCTTTAGACAGAGCAGATTTGAAACACTCTTTTTGCGGAATTTGCAAGTGGAGATTTCTAGCCATTTGATGCCAACAGTAGAAAGGGAAATATCTTCAAATAAAAACCAGACAGAATCATTCTCAGAAAATTCTTTGTGATGTGTACTTTCAACTCACATAGTTTAACCTTTCTTTTCATAGAGGAGTTTGGAAACACTCTGTTTGTAAAGTCTGCAAGTGGATATATGGACCGCATTGAGGCCTTCGTTGGAAACGGGATTTCTTCATTTCATGCTAGACAGAAGAATTCTCAGTAACTTCTTTGTGCTGCGTGTATTCAACTCACAGAGTGGAATGTCCCTTTGCACAGAGCAGATTTGAAACACTCTTTTTGTGGAGTTTGCAAGTGGAGATTTCAAGCGATTTGATGCCAACAGTAGAAAAGGAAATATCTTCAAATAAAAACTAGACAGAATCATTCTCAGAAACTACTTTGTGATGTGTGCCTTCAACTCACAGAGTTTAACCTTTCTTTTCTTAGAGCAGTTTAGAAACACTCTGCTTGTTATGTCTGCAAGTGGATATTTGGACCTCTTTGAGGCCTTCGTTGCAAACGGGGTTTCTTCCTTTCATGCTAGACTAAGAAGAGTTCTCAGTAACTTTTTTGTGTTGTGTGTATTCAACTCACAGAGTTGAACCTTGCTTTAGAGAGAGCAGATTTGAAACACTCTCGCTGTGGAATTTTCAGGTGGAGATTTCAAGCGATTTGAGGACAATTGCAGAAAAGGAAATATCTTCGTATAATAACCAGACAGAATCATTCTCAGAAAGTGCTTTGTGATGTGTGCGTTCAACTCACAGAGTTTAACCTTTCTTTTCATAGAGGAGCTTGGAAACACACTGTTTGTAAAGTCTGCAATTGGATATATGGACCTGTTTGAGACCTCCGTTGGAAACGGGATTTCTTCATTGAATGCTAGACGGAAGAATTCTCAGTAAATTCTTTGTGTTGTGTGCATTCAACTCACAGAGTGGAACGTCCCTTTAGACAGAGCAGATTTGAAACACTCTTTTTGCGGAATTTGCAAGTGGAGATTTCTAGCCATTTGATGCCAACAGTAGAAAGGGAAATATCTTCAAATAAAAACCAGACAGAATCATTCTCAGAAAATTCTTTGTGATGTGTGCATTCAACTCACATAGTTTAACCTTTCTTTTCATAGAGCAGTTTGGAAACACTCTGTTTGTAAAGTCTGCAAGTGGATATATGGACCGCATTGAGGCCTTCGTTGGAAACGGGATTTCTTCATTTCATGCTAGACAGAAGAATTCTCAGTAACTTCTTTGTGCTGTGTGTATTCAACTCACAGAGTGGAACGTCCCTTTGCACAGAGCAGATTTGAAACACTCTTTTTGTGGAGTTTGCAAGTGGAGATTTCAAGCGATTTGATGCCAACAGTAGAAAAGGAAATATCTTCAAATAAAAACTAGACAGAATCATTCTCAGAAACTACTTTGTGATGTGTGCCTTCAACTCACAGAGTTTAACCTTTCTTTTCTTAGAGCAGTTTAGAAACACTCTGCTTGTTATGTCTGCAAGTGGATATTTGGACCTCTTTGAGGCCTTCGTTGCAAACGGGGTTTCTTCCTTTCATGCTAGACTAAGAAGAGTTCTCAGTAACTTTTTTGTGTTGTGTGTATTCAACTCACAGAGTTGAACCTTGCTTTAGAGAGAGCAGATTTGAAACACTCTTGCTGTGGCATTTTCAGGTGGAGATTTCAAGCGATTTGAGGACAATTGCAGAAAAGGAAATATCTTCGTATAACAACCAGACAGAATCATTCTCAGAAAGTGCTTTGTGATGTGTGCGTTCAACTCACAGAGTTTAACCTTTCTTTTCATAGAGGAGTTTGGAAACACACTGTTTGTAAAGTCTGCAATTGGATATATGGACCTGTTTGAGGCCTTCGTTGGAAACGGGATTTCTTCATTGAATGCTAGACGGAAGAATTCTCAGTAAATTCTTTGTGTTGTGTGCATTCAACTCACAGAGTGGAACGTCCCTTTAGACAGAGCAGATTTGAAACACTCTTTTTGCGGAATTTGCAAGTGGAGATTTCTAGCCATTTGATGCCAACAGTAGAAAGGGAAATATCTTCAAATAAAAACCAGACAGAATCATTCTCAGAAAATTCTTTGTGATGTGTGCGTTCAACTCACATAGTTTAACCTTTCTTTTCATAGAGCAGTTTGGAAACACTCTGTTTGTAAAGTCTGCAAGTGGATATATGGACCGCATTGAGGCCTTCGTTGGAAACGGGATTTCTTCATTTCATGCTAGACAGAAGCAATTCTCAGTAACTTCTTTGTGCTGTGTGTATTCAACTCACAGAGTGGAACGTCCTTTTGCACAGAGCAGATTTGAAACACTCTTTTTGTGGAATTTGCAAGTGGAGATTTCAAGCGATTTGATGCCAACAGTAGAAAAGGAAATATCTTCAAATAAAAACTAGACAGAATCATTCTCAGAAACTACTTTGTGATGTGTGCCTTCAACTCACAGAGTTTAACCTTTCTTTTCTTAGAGCAGTTTAGAAACACTCTGCTTGTTATGTCTGCAAGTGGATATTTGGACCTCTTTGAGGCCTTCGTTGCAAACGGGGTTTCTTCCTTTCATGCTAGACTAAGAAGAGTTCTCAGTAACTTTTTTGTGTTGTGTGTATTCAACTCACAGAGTTGAACCTTGCTTTAGAGAGAGCAGATTTGAAACACTCTTGCTGTGGCATTTTCAGGTGGAGATTTCAAGCGATTTGAGGACAAATTGCAGAAAAGGAAATATCTTCGTATAATAACCAGACAGAATCATTCTCAGAAAGTGCTTTGTGATGTGTGCGTTCAACTCACAGAGTTTAACCTTTCTTTTCATAGAGGAGTTTGGAAACACACTGTTTGTAAAGTCTGCAATTGGATATAGGGACCTGTTTGAGGCCTTCGTTGGAAACGGGATTTCTTCATTGAATGCTAGACGGAAGAATTCTCAGTAAATTCTTTGTGTTGTGTGCATTCAACTGACAGAGTGGAACGTCCCTTTAGACAGAGCAGATTTGAAACACTCTTTTTGCGGAATTTGCAAGTGGAGATTTCTAGCCATTTGATGCCAACAGTAGAAAGGGAAATATCTTCAAATAAAAACCAGACAGAATCATTCTCAGAAAATTCTTTGTGATGTGTGCGTTCAACTCACATAGTTTAACCTTTCTTTTCATAGAGCAGTTTGGAAACACTCTGTTTGTAAAGTCTGCAAGTGGATATATGGACCGCATTGAGGCCTTCGTTGGAAACGGGATTTCTTCATTTCATGCTAGACAGAAGAATTCTCAGTAACTTCTTTGTGCTGTGTGTATTCAACTCACAGAGTGGAACGTCCCTTTACACAGAGAAGATTTGAAACACTCTTTTTGTGGAGTTTGCAAGTGGAGATTTCAAGCGATTTGATGCCAACAGTAGAAAAGGAAATATCTTCAAATAAAAACTAGACAGAATCATTCTCAGAAACTACTTTGTGATGTGTGCCTTCAACTCACAGAGTTTAACCTTTCTTTTCTTAGAGCAGTTTAGAAACACTCTGCTTGTTATGTCTGCAAGTGGATATTTGGACCTCTTTGAGGCCTTCGTTGCAAACGGGGTTTCTTCCTTTCATGCTAGACTAAGAAGAGTTCTCAGTAACTTTTTTGTGTTGTGTGTATTCAACTCACAGAGTTGAACCTTGCTTTAGAGAGAGCAGATTTGAAACACTCTTGCTGTGGCATTTTCAGGTGGAGATTTCAAGCGATTTGAGGACAATTGCAGAAAAGGAAATATCTTCGTATAATAACCAGACAGAATCATTCTCAGAAAGGGCTTTGTGATGTGTGCGTTCAACTCACAGAGTTTAACCTTTCTTTTCATAGAGGAGTTTGGAAACACACTGTTTGTAAAGTCTGCAAGTGGATATATGGACCTGTTTGAGGCCTTCGTTGGAAACGGGATTTCTTCATTGAATGCTAGACGGAAGAATTCTCAGTAAATTCTTTGTGTTGTGTGCATTCAACTCACAGAGTGGAACGTCCCTTTAGACAGAGCAGATTTGAAACACTCTTTTTGCGGAATTTGCAAGTGGAGATTTCTAGCCATTTGATGCCAACAGTAGAAAGGGAAATATCTTCAAATAAAAACCAGACAGAATCATTCTCAGAAAATTCTTTGTGATGTGTGCGTTCAACTCACATAGTTTAACCTTTCTTTTCATAGAGCAGTTTGGAAACACTCTGTTTGTAAAGTCTGCAAGTGGATATATGGACCGCATTGAGGCCTTCGTTGGAAACGGGATTTCTTCATTTCATGCTAGACAGAAGAATTCTCAGTACCTTCTTTGTGCTGTGTGTATTCAACTCACAGAGTGGAACGTCCCTTTACATAGAGCAGATTTGAAACACTCTTTTTGTGGAGTTTGCAAGTGGAGATTTCAAGCGATTTGATGCCAACAGTAGAAAAGGAAATATCTTCAAATAAAAACTAGACAGAATCATTCTCAGAAACTACTTTGTGATGTGTGCCTTCAACTCACAGAGTTTAACCTTTCTTTTCTTAGAGCAGTTTAGAAACACTCTGCTTGTTATGTCTGCAAGTGGATATTTGGACCTCTTTGAGGCCTTCGTTGCAAACGGGGTTTCTTCCTTTCATGCTAGACTAAGAAGAGTTCTCAGTAACTTTTTTGTGTTGTGTGTATTCAACTCACAGAGTTGAACCTTGCTTTAGAGAGAGCAGATTTGAAACACTCTTGCTGTGGCATTTTCAGGTGGAGATTTCAAGCGATTTGAGGACAATTGCAGAAAAGGAAATATCTTCGTATAATAACCAGACAGAATCATTCTCAGAAAGTGCTTTGTGATGTGTGCGTTCCACTCACAGAGTTTAACCTTTCTTTTCATAGAGGAGTTTGGAAACACACTGTTTGTAAAGTCTGCAAGTGGATATATGGACCTCTTTGAGGCCTTCGTTGGAAACGGGATTTCTTCATTGAATGCTAGACGGAAGAATTCTCAGTAAATTCTTTGTGTTGTGTGCATTCAACTCACAGAGTGGAACGTCCCTTTAGACAGAGCAGATTTGAAACACTCTTTTTGCGGAATTTGCAAGTGGAGATTTCTAGCCATTTGATGCCAACAGTAGAAAGGGAAATATCTTCAAATAAAAACCAGACAGAATCATTCTCAGAAAATTCTTTGTGATGTGTGCGTTCAACTCACATAGTTTAACCTTTCTTTTCATAGAGCAGTTTGGAAACACTCTGTTTGTAAAGTCTGCAAGTGGATATATGGACCGCATTGAGGCCTTCGTTGGAAACGGGATTTCTTCATTTCATGCTAGACAGAAGAATTCTCAGTAACTTCTTTGTGCTGTGTGTATTCAACTCAGAGAGTGGAACGTCCCTTTCCACAGAGCAGATTTGAAACACTCTTTTTGTGGAATTTGCAATTGGAGATTTCAAGCGATTTGATGCCAACAGTAGAAAAGGAAATATCTTCAAATACAAACTAGACAGAATCATTCTCAGAAACTACTTTGTGATGTGTGCCTTCAACTCACAGAGTTTAACCTTTCTTTTCTTAGAGCAGTTTAGAAACACTCTGCTTGTTATGTCTGCAAGTGGATATTTGGACCTCTTTGAGGCCTTCGTTGCAAACGGGGTTTCTTCCTTTCATGCTAGACTAAGAAGAGTTCTCAGTAACTTTTTTGTGTTGTGTGTATTCAACTCACAGAGTTGAACCTTGCTTTAGAGAGAGCAGATTTGAAACACTCTTGCTGTGGCATTTTCAGGTGGAGATTTCAAGCGATTTGAGGACAATTGCAGAAAAGGAAATATCTTCGTATAATAACCAGACAGAATCATTCTCAGAAAGTGCTTTGTGATGTGTGCGTTCAACTCACAGAGTTTAACCTTTCTTTTCATAGAGGAGTTTGGAAACACACTGTTTGTAAAGTCTGCAATTGGATATATGGACCTGTTTGAGGCCTTCGTTGGAAACGGGATTTCTTCATTGAATGCTAGACGGAAGAATTCTCAGTAAATTCTTTGTGTTGTGTGCATTCAACTCACAGAGTGGAACGTCCCTTTAGACAGAGCAGATTTGAAACACTCTTTTTGCGGAATTTGCAAGTGGAGATTTCTAGCCATTTGATGCCAACAGTAGAAAGGGAAATATCTTCAAATAAAAACCAGACAGAATCATTCTCAGAAAATTCTTTGTGATGTGTGCGTTCAACTCACATAGTTTAACCTTTCTTTTCATAGAGCAGTTTGGAAACACTCTGTTTGTAAAGTCTGCAAGTGGATATATGGACCGCATTGAGGCCTTCGTTGGAAACGGGATTTCTTCATTTTATGCTAGACAGAAGAATTCTCAGTAACTTCTTTGTGCTGTGTGTATTCAACTCACAGAGTGGAACGTCCCTTTACACAGAGCAGATTTGAAACACTCTTTTTGTGGAGTTTGCAAGTGGAGATTTCAAGCGATTTGATGCCAACAGTAGAAAAGGAAATATCTTCAAATAAAAACTAGACAGAAGAATCATTCTCAGAAACTACTTTGTGATGTGTGCCTTCAACTCACAGAGTTTAATCTTTCTTTTCTTAGAGCAGCTTAGAAACACTCTGCTTGTTATGTCTGCAAGTGGATATTTGGACCTCTTTGAGGCCTTCGTTGCAAACGGGGTTTCTTCCTTTCATGCTAGACTAAGAAGAGTTCTCAGTAACTTTTTTGTGTTGTGTGTATTCAACCCACAGAGTTGAACCTTGCTTTAGAGAGAGCAGATTTGAAACACTCTTGCTGTGGCATTTTCAGGTGGAGATTTCAAGCGATTTGAGGACAATTGCAGAAAAGGAAATATCTTCGTATAATAACCAGACAGAATCATTCTCAGAAAGTGCTTTGTGATGTGTGCGTTCAACTCACAGAGTTTAACCTTTCTTTTCATAGAGGAGTTTGGAAACACACTGTTTGTAAAGTCTGCAAGTGTATATATGGACCTGTTTGAGGCCTTCGTTGGAAACGGGATTTCTTCATTGAATGCTAGACGGAAGAATTCTCAGTAAATTCTTTGTGTTGTGTGCATTCAACTCACAGAGTGGAACGTCCCTTTAGACAGAGCAGATTTGAAACACTCTTTTTGCGGAATTTGCAAGTGGAGATTTCTAGCCATTTGATGCCAACAGTAGAAAGGGAAATATCTTCAAATAAAAACCAGACAGAATCATTCTCAGAAAATTCTTTGTGATGTGTGCGTTCAACTCACATAGTTTAACCTTTCTTTTCATAGAGCAGTTTGGAAACACTCTGTTTGTAAAGTCTGCAAGTGGATATATGGACCGCATTGAGGCCTTCGTTGGAAACGGGATTTCTTCATTTCATGCTAGACAGAAGAATTCTCAGTAACTTCTTTGTGCTGTGTGTATTCAACTCACAGAGTGGAACGTCCCTTTGCACAGAGCAGATTTGAAACACTCTTTTTGTGGAGTTTGCAAGTGGAGATTTCAAGCGATTTGATGCCAACAGTAGAAAAGGAAATATCTTCAAATAAAAACTAGACAGAATCATTCTCAGAAACTACTTTGTGATGTGTGCCTTCAACTCACAGAGTTTAACCTTTCTTTTCTTAGAGCAGTTTAGAAACACTCTGCTTGTTATGTCTGCAAGTGGATATTTGGACCTCTTTGAGGCCTTCGTTGCAAACGGGGTTTCTTCCTTTCATGCTAGACTAAGAAGAGTTCTCAGTAACTTTTTTGTGTTGTGTGTATTCAACTCACAGAGTTGAACCTTGCTTTAGAGAGAGCAGATTTGAAACACTCTTGCTGTGGCATTTTCAGGTGGAGATTTCAAGCGATTTGAGGACAATTGCAGAAAAGGAAATATCTTCGTATAATAACCAGACAGAATCATTCTCAGAAAGTGCTTTGTGATGTGTGCGTTCCACTCACAGAGTTTAACCTTTCTTTTCATAGAGGAGTTTGGAAACACACTGTTTGTAAACTCTGCAAGTGGATATATGGACCTGTTTGAGGCCTTCGTTGGAAACGGGATTTCTTCATTGAATGCTAGACGGAAGAATTCTCAGTAAATTCTTTGTGTTGTGTGCATTCAACTCACAGAGTGGAACGTCCCTTTAGACAGAGCAGATTTGAAACACTCTTTTTGCGGAATTTGCAAGTGGAGATTTCTAGCCATTTGATGCCAACAGTAGAAAGGGAAATATCTTCAAATAAAAACCAGACAGAATCATTCTCAGAAAATTCTTTGTGATGTGTACGTTCAGCTCACATAGTTTAACCTTTCTTTTCATAGAGCAGTTTCGAAACACACTCTTTGTATAATCTGCAAGTGGATATATGTACCGCTTTGAGGCATTCCTTGGAAACGGGATTTCTTCATTGAATGCTAGACAGAAGAATTCTCAGTAACTTCTTTGTGCTGTGTGTATTCAACTCACAGAGTGGAACGTTCCTTTACACAGAGCAGATTTGAAACACTCTTTTTGTGGAATTTGCAAGTGGAGATTTCAAGCGATTTGATGCCAACAGTAGAAAAGGAAATATCTTCAAATAAAAACTAGACAGAATCATTCTCAGAAACTACTTTGTGATGTGTGCCTTCAACTCACAGAGTTTAACCTTTCTTTTCTTAGAGCAGTTTAGAAACACTCTGCTTGTTATGTCTGCAAGTGGATATTTGGACCTCTTTGAGGCCTTCGTTGCAAACGGGGTTTCTTCCTTTCATGCTAGACTAAGAAGAGTTCTCAGTAACTTTTTTGTGTTGTGTGTATTCAACTCACAGAGTTGAACCTTGCTTTAGAGAGAGCAGATTTGAAACACTCTTGCTGTGGCATTTTCACGTGGAGATTTCAAGCGATTTGAGGACAATTGCAGAAAAGGAAATATCTTCGTATAATAACCAGACAGAATCATTCTCAGAAAGTGCTTTGTGATGTGTGCGTTCAACTCACAGAGTTTAACCTTTCTTTTCATAGAGGAGTTTGGAAACACACTGTTTGTAAAGTCTGCAATTGGATATATGGACCTGTTTGAGGCCTTCGTTGGAAACGGGATTTCTTCATTGAATGCTAGACGGAAGAATTCTCAGTAAATTCTTTGTGTTGTGTGCATTCAACTCACAGAGTGGAACGTCCCTTTAGACAGAGCAGATTTGAAACACTCTTTTTGCGGAATTTGCAAGTGGAGATTTCTAGCCATTTGATGCCAACAGTAGAAAGGGAAATATCTTCAAATAAAAACCAGACAGAATCATTCTCAGAAAATTCTTTGTGATGTGTGCGTTCAACTCACATAGTTTAACCTTTCTTTTCATAGAGCAGTTTGGAAACACTCTGTTTGTAAAGTCTGCAAGTGGATATATGGACCGCATTGAGGCCTTCGTTGGAAACGGGATTTCTTCATTTCATGCTAGACAGAAGAATTCTCAGTAACTTCTTTGTGCTGTGTGTATTCAACTCACAGAGTGGAACGTCCCTTTGCACAGAGCAGATTTGAAACACTCTTTTTGTGGAGTTTGCAAGTGGAGATTTCAAGCGATTTGATGCCAACAGTAGAAAAGGAAATATCTTCAAATAAAAACTAGACAGAATCATTCTCAGAAACTACTTTGTGATGTGTGCCTTCAACTCACAGAGTTTAACCTTTCTTTTCTTAGAGCAGTTTAGAAACACTCTGCTTGTTATGTCTGCAAGTGGATATTTGGACCTCTTTGAGGCCTTCGTTGCAAACGGGGTTTCTTCCTTTCATGCTAGACTAAGAAGAGTTCTCAGTAACTTTTTTGTGTTGTGTGTATTCAACTCACAGAGCTGAACCTTGCTTTAGAGAGAGCAGATTTGAAACACTCTTGCTGTGGCATTTTCAGGTGGAGATTTCAAGCGATTTGAGGACAATTGCAGAAAAGGAAATATCTTCGTATAACAACCAGACAGAATCATTCTCAGAAAGTGCTTTGTGATGTGTGCATTCAACTCACAGAGTTTAACCTTTCTTTTCATTGAGGAGTTTGGAAACACACTGTTTGTAAAGTCTGCAATTGGATATATGGACCTGTTTGAGGCCTTCGTTGGCAACGGGATTTCTTCATTGAATGCTAGACGGAAGAATTCTCAGTAAATTCTTTGTGTTGTGTGCATTCAACTGACAGAGTGGAACGTCCCTTAAGACAGAGCAGATTTGAAACACTCTTTTTGCGGAATTTGCAAGTGGAGATTTCTAGCCATTTGATGCCAACAGTAGAAAGGGAAATATCTTCAAATAAAAACCAGACAGAATCATTCTCAGAAAATTCTTTGTGATGTGTGCGTTCAACTCACATAGTTTAACCTTTCTTTTCATAGAGCAGTTTGGAAACACTCTGTTTGTAAAGTCTGCAAGTGGATATATGGACCGCATTGAGGCCTTCGTTGGAAACGAGATTTCTTCATTTCATGCTAGACAGAAGAATTCTCAGTAACTTCTTTGTGCTGTGTGTATTCAACTCACAGAGTGGAACGTCCCTTTGCACAGAGCAGATTTGAAACACTCTTTTTGTGGAGTTTGCAAGTGGAGATTTCAAGCGATTTGATGCCAACAGTAGAAAAGGAAATATCTTCAAATAAAAACTAGACAGAATCATTCTCAGAAACTACTTTGTGATGTGTGCCTTCAACTCACAGAGTTTAACCTTTCTTTTCTTAGAGCAGTTTAGAAACACTCTGCTTGTTATGTCTGCAAGTGGATATTTGGACCTCTTTGAGGCCTTCGTTGCAAACGGGGTTTCTTCCTTTAATGCTAGACTAAGAAGAGTTCTCAGTAACTTTTTTGTGTTGTGTGTATTCAACTCACAGAGTTGAACCTTGCTTTAGAGAGGGCAGATTTGAAACACTCTCGCTGTGGCATTTTCAGGTGGAGATTTCAAGCGATTTGAGGACAATTGCAGAAAAGGAAATATACTTCGTATAATAACCAGACAGAAATCATTCACAGAAAGTGCTTTGTGATGTGTGCGTTCAACTCACAGAGTTTAACCTTTCTTTTCATAGAGGAGTTTGGAAACACACTGTTTGTAAAGTCTGCAAGTGGATATATGGACCTGTTTGAGGCCTTCGTTGGAAACGGGATTTCTTCATTGAATGCTAGACGGAAGAATTCTCAGTAAATTCTTTGTGTTGTGTGCATTCAACTCACACAGTGGAACGTCCCTTTAGACAGAGCAAATTTGAAACACTCTTTTTGCGGAAGTTGCAAGTGGAGATTTCTAGCCATTTGATGCCAACAGTGGAAAGGGAAATATCTTCAAATAAAAACTAGACAGAATCATTCTCCGAAAGTGCTTTGTGATGTGTGCGTTCAACTCACAGAGTTTAACCTTTCTTTTCATAGAGGAGTTTGGAAACACACTGTTTGTAAAGTCTGCAATTGGATATATGGACCTGTTTGAGGCCTTCGTTGGAAACGGGATTTCTTCATTGAATGCTAGACGGAAGAATTCTCAGTAAATTCTTTGTGTTGTGTGCATTCAACTCACAGAGTGGAACGTCCCTTTAGACAGAGCAGATTTGAAACACTCTTTTTGCGGAATTTGCAAGTGGAGATTTCTAGCCATTTGATGCCAACAGTAGAAAGGGAAATATCTTCAAATAAAAACCAGACAGAATCATTCTCAGAAAATTCTTTGTGATGTGTGCGTTCAACTCACATAGTTTAACCTTTCTTTTCATAGAGCAGTTTGGAAACACTCTGTTTGTAAAGTCTGCAAGTGGATATATGGACCGCATTGAGGCCTTCGTTGGAAACGGGATTTCTTCATTTCATGCTAGACAGAAGAATTCTCAGTAACTTCTTTGTGCTGTGTGTATTCAACTCACAGAGTGGAACGTCCCTTTGCACAGAGCAGATTTGAAACACTCTTTTTGTGGAGTTTGCAAGTGGAGATTTCAAGCGATTTGATGCCAACAGTAGAAAAGGAAATATCTTCAAATAAAAACTAGACAGAATCATTCTCAGAAACTACTTTGTGATGTGTGCCTTCAACTCACAGAGTTTAACCTTTCTTTTCTTAGAGCAGTTTAGAAACACTCTGCTTGTTATGTCTGCAAGTGGATATTTGGACCTCTTTGAGGCCTTCGTTGCAAACGGGGTTTCTTCCTTTCATGCTAGACTAAGAAGAGTTCTCAGTAACTTTTTTGTGTTGTGTGTATTCAACTCACAGAGTTGAACCTTGCTTTAGAGAGAGCAGATTTGAAACACTCTTGCTGTGGCATTTTCAGGTGGAGATTTCAAGCGATTTGAGGACAATTGCAGAAAAGGAAATATCTTCGTATAATAACCAGACAGAATCATTCTCAGAAAGTGCTTTGTGATGTGTGCGTTCCACTCACAGAGTTTAACCTTTCTTTTCATAGAGGAGTTTGGAAACACACTGTTTGTAAAGTCTGCAAGTGGATATATGGACCTGTTTGAGGCCTTCGTTGGAAACGGGATTTCTTCATTGAATGCTAGACGGAAGAATTCTCAGTAAATTCTTTGTGTTGTGTGCATTCAACTCACAGAGTGGAACGTCCCTTTAGACAGAGCAGATTTGAAACACTCTTTTTGCGGAATTTGCAAGTGGAGATTTCTAGCCATTTGATGCCAACAGTAGAAAGGGAAATATCTTCAAATAAAAACCAGACAGAATCATTCTCAGAAAATTCTTTGTGATGTGTGCGTTCAACTCACATAGTTTAACCTTTCTTTTCATAGAGCAGTTTGGAAACACTCTGTTTGTAAAGTCTGCAAGTGGATATATGGACCGCATTGAGGCCTTCGTTGGAAACGGGATTTCTTCATTTCATGCTAGACAGAAGAATTCTCAGTAACTTCTTTGTGCTGTGTGTATTCAACTCACAGAGTGGAACGTCCCTTTACACAGAGCAGATTTGAAACACTCTTTTTGTGGAGTTTGCAAGTGGAGATTTCAAGCGATTTGATGCCAACAGTAGAAAAGGAAATATCTTCAAATAAAAACTAGACAGAATCATTCTCAGAAACTACTTTGTGATGTGTGCCTTCAACTCACAGAGTTTAACCTTTCTTTTCTTAGAGCAGTTTAGAAACACTCTGCTTGTTATGTCTGCAAGTGGATATTTGGACCTCTTTGAGGCCTTCGTTGCAAACGGGGTTTCTTCCTTTCATGCTAGACTAAGAAGAGTTCTCAGTAACTTTTTTGTGTTGTGTGTATTCAACTCACAGAGTTGAACCTTGCTTTAGAGAGAGCAGATTTGAAACACTCTTGCTGTGGCATTTTCAGGTGGAGATTTCAAGCGATTTGAGGACAATTGCAGAAAAGGAAATATCTTCGTATAATAACCAGACAGAATCATTCTCAGAAAGTGCTTTGTGATGTGTGCGTTCCACTCACAGAGTTTAACCTTTCTTTTCATAGAGGAGTTTGGAAACACACTGTTTGTAAAGTCTGCAAGTGGATATATGGACCTGTTTGAGGCCTTCGTTGGAAACGGGATTTCTTCATTGAATGCTAGACGGAAGAATTCTCAGTAAATTCTTTGTGTTGTGTGCATTCAACTCACAGAGTGGAACGTCCCTTTAGACAGAGCAGATTTGAAACACTCTTTTTGCGGAATTTGCAAGTGGAGATTTCTAGCCATTTGATGCCAACAGTAGAAAGGGAAATATTTTCAAATAAAAACCAGACAGAATCATTCTCAGAAAATTCTTTGTGATGTGTGCGTTCAACTCACATAGTTTAACCTTTCTTTTCATAGAGCAGTTTGGAAACACTCTGTTTGTAAAGTCTGCAAGTGGATATATGGACCGCATTGAGGCCTTCGTTGGAAACGGGATTTCTTCATTTCATGCTAGACAGAAGAATTCTCAGTAACTTCTTTGTGCTGTGTGTATTCAACTCACAGAGTGGAACGTCCCTTTGCACAGAGCAGATTTGAAACACTCTTTTTGTGGAATTTGCAAGTGGAGATTTCAAGCGATTTGATGCCAACAGTAGAAAAGGAAATATCTTCAAATAAAAACTAGACAGAATCATTCTCAGAAACTACTTTGTGATGTGTGCCTTCAACTCACAGAGTTTAACCTTTCTTTTCTTAGAGCAGTTTAGAAACACTCTGCTTGTTATGTCTGCAAGTGGATATTTGGACCTCTTTGAGGCCTTCTTTGCAAACGGGGTTTCTTCCTTTCATGCTAGACTAAGAAGAGTTCTCAGTAACTTTTTTGTGTTGTGTGTATTCAACTCACAGAGTTGAACCTTGCTTTAGAGAGAGCAGATTTGAAACACTCTTGCTGTGGCATTTTCAGGTGGAGATTTCAAGCGATTTGAGGACAATTGCAGAAAAGGAAATATCTTCGTATAATAACCAGACAGAATCATTCTCAGAAAGTGCTTTGTGATGTGTGCGTTCAACTCACAGAGTTTAACCTTTCTTTTCATAGAGGAGTTTGGAAACACACTGTTTGTAAAGTCTGCAATTGGATATATGGACCTGTTTGAGGCCTTCGTTGGAAACGGGATTTCTTCATTGAATGCTAGACGGAAGAATTCTCAGTAAATTCTTTGTGTTGTGTGCATTCAACTCACAGAGTGGAACGTCCCTTTAGACAGAGCAGATTTGAAACACTCTTTTTGTGGAATTTGCAAGTGGAGATTTCTAGCCATTTGATGCCAACAGTAGAAAGGGAAATATCTTCAAATAAAAACCAGACAGAATCATTCTCAGAAAATTCTTTGTGATGTGTGCGTTCAACTCACATAGTTTAACCTTTCTTTTCATAGAGCAGTTTGGAAACACTCTGTTTGTAAAGTCTGCAAGTGGATATATGGACCGCATTGAGGCCTTCGTTGGAAACGGGATTTCTTCATTTCATGCTAGACAGAAGAATTCTCAGTAACTTCTTTGTGCTGTGTGTATTCAACTCACAGAGTGGAACGTCCCTTTACACAGAGCAGATTTGAAACACTCTTTTTGTGGAGTTTGCAAGTGGAGATTTCAAGCGATTTGATGCCAACAGTAGAAAAGGAAATATCTTCAAATAAAAACTAGACAGAATCATTCTCAGAAACTACTTTGTGATGTGTGCCTTCAACTCACAGAGTTTAACCTTTCTTTTCTTAGAGCAGTTTAGAAACACTCTGCTTGTTATGTATGCAAGTGGATATTTGGACCTCTTGAGGCCTTCGTTGCAAACGGGGTTTCTTCCTTTCATGCTAGACTAAGAAGAGTTCTCAGTAACTTTTTTGTGTTGTGTGTATTCAACTCACAGAGTTGAACCTTGCTTTAGAGAGAGCAGATTTGAAACACTCTTGCTGTGGCATTTTCACGTGGAGATTTCTAGCGATTTGAGGACAATTGCAGAAAAGGAAATATCTTCGTATAATAACCAGACAGAATGATTCTCAGAAAGTGCTTTGTGATGTGTGCGTTCAACTCACAGAGTTTAACCTTTCTTTTCATAGAGGAGTTTGGAAACACACTGTTTGTAAAGTCTGCAAGTGGATATATGGACCTGTTTGAGGCCTTCGTTGGAAACGGGATTTTATCATATAATGCTAGACGGAAGAATTCTCAGTAAATTCTTTGTGTTGTGTGCATTCAACTCACAGAGTGGAACGTCCCTTTAGACAGAGCAGATTTGAAACACTCTTTTTGCGGAATTTGCAAGTGGAGATTTCTAGCCATTTGATGCCAACAGTAGAAAGGGAAATATCTTCAAATAAAAACCAGACAGAATCATTCTCAGAAAATTCTTTGTGATGTGTGCGTTCAACTCACATAGTTTAACCTTTCTTTTCATAGAGCAGTTTGGAAACACTCTGTTTGTAAAGTCTGCAAGTGGATATATGGACCGCATTGAGGCCTTCGTTGGAAACGGGATTTCTTCATTTCATGCTAGACAGAAGAATTCTCAGTAACTTCTTTGTGCTGTGTGTATTCAACTCACAGAGTGGAACGTCCCTTTGCACAGAGCAGATTTGAAACACTCTTTTTGTGGAATTTGCAAGTGGAGATTTCAAGCGATTTGATGCCAACAGTAGAAAAGGAAATATCTTCAAATAAAAACTAGACAGAATCATTCTCAGAAACTACTTTGTGATGTGTGCCTTCAACTCACAGAGTTTAACCTTTCTTTTCTTAGAGCAGTTTAGAAACACTCTGCTTGTTATGTCTGCAAGTGGATATTTGGACCTCTTTGAGGCCTTCGTTGCAAACGGGGTTTCTTCCTTTCATGCTAGACTAAGAAGAGTTGCTCAGTAACTTTTTTGTGTTGTGTGTATTCAACTCACAGAGTTGAACCTTGCTTTAGAGAGAGCAGATTTGAAACACTCTTGCTGTGGCATTTTCAGGTGGAGATTTCAAGCGATTTGAGGACAATTGCAGAAAAGGAAATATCTTCGTATAATAACCAGACAGAATCATTCTCAGAAAGTGCTTTGTGATGTGTGCCGTTCAACTCACAGAGTTTAACCTTTCTTTTCATAGAGGAGTTTGGAAACACACTGTTTGTAAAGTCTGCAAGTGGATATATGGACCTGTTTGAGGCCTTCGTTGGAAACGGGATTTCTTCATTGAATGCTAGACGGAAGAATTCTCAGTAAATTCTTTGTGTTGTGTGCATTCAACTCACAGAGTGGAACGTCCCTTTAGACAGAGCAGATTTGAAACACTCTTTTTGCGGAATTTGCAAGTGGAGATTTCTAGCCATTTGATGCCAACTGTAGAAAGGGAAATATCTTCAAATAAAAACCAGGCAGAATCATTCTCAGAAAATTCTTTGTGATGTGTGCGTTCAACTCACATAGTTTAACCTTTCTTTTCATAGAGCAGTTTGGAAACACTCTGTTTGTAAAGTCTGCAAGTGGATATATGGACCGCATTGAGGCCTTCGTTGGAAACGGGATTTCTTCATTTCATGCTAGACAGAAGAATTCTCAGTAACTTCTTTGTGCTGTGTGTATTCAACTCACAGAGTGGAACGTCCCTTTGCACAGAGCAGATTTGAAACACTCTTTTTGCGGAGTTTGCAAGTGGAGATTTCAAGCGATTTGATGCCAACAGTAGAAAAGGAAATATCTTCAAATAAAAACTAGACAGAATCATTCTCAGAAACTACTTTGTGATGTGTGCCTTCAACTCACAGAGTTTAACCTTTCTTTTCTTAGAGCAGTTTAGAAACACTCTGCTTGTTATGTCTGCAAGTGGATATTTGGACCTCTTTGAGGCCTTCGTTGCAAACGGGGTTTCTTCCTTTCATGCTAGACTAAGAAGAGTTCTCAGTAACTTTTTTGTGTTGTGTGTATTCAACTCACAGAGTTGAACCTTGCTTTAGAGAGAGCAGATTTGAAACACTCTTGCTGTGGCATTTTCAGGTGGAGATTTCAAGCGATTTGAGGACAATTGCAGAAAAAGAAATATCTTCGTATAATAACCAGACAGAATCATTCTCAGAAAGTGCTTTGTGATGTGTGCGTTCCACTCACAGAGTTTAACCTTTCTTTTCATAGAGGAGTTTGGAAACACACTGTTTGTAAAGTCTGCAAGTGGATATATGGACCTGTTTGAGGCCTTCGTTGGAAACGGGATTTCTTCATTGAATGCTAGACGGAAGAATTCTCAGTAAATTCTTTGTGTTGTGTGCATTCAACTCACAGAGTGGAACGTCCCTTTAGACAGAGCAGATTTGAAACACTCTTTTTGCGGAATTTGCAAGTGGAGATTTCTAGCCATTTGATGCCAACAGTAGAAAGGGAAATATCTTCAAATAAAAACCAGACAGAATCATTCTCAGAAAATTCTTTGTGATGTGTGCGTTCAACTCACATAGTTTAACCTTTCTTTTCATAGAGCAGTTTGGAAACACTCTGTTTGTAAAGTCTGCAAGTGGATATATGGACCGCATTGAGGCCTTCGTTGGAAACGGGATTTCTTCATTTCATGCTAGACAGAAGAATTCTCAGTAACTTCTTTGTGCTGTGTGTATTCAACTCACAGAGTGGAACGTCCCTTTACACAGAGCAGATTTGAAACACTCTTTTTGTGGAGTTTGCGAGTGGAGATTTCAAGCGATTTGATGCCAACAGTAGAAAAGGAAATATCTTCAAATAAAAACTAGACAGAATCATTCTCAGAAACTACTTTGTGATGTGTGCCTTCAACTCACAGAGTTTAACCTTTCTTTTCTTAGAGCAGTTTAGAAACACTCTGCTTGTTATGTCTGCAAGTGGATATTTGGACCTCTTTGAGGCCTTCGTTGCAAACGGGGTTTCTTCCTTTCATGCTAGACTAAGAAGAGTTCTCAGTAACTTTTTTGTGTTGTGTGTATTCAACTCACAGAGTTGAACCTTGCTTTAGAGAGAGCAGATTTGAAACACTCTTGCTGTGGCATTTTCAGGTGGAGATTTCAAGCGATTTGAGGACAATTGCAGAAAAGGAAATATCTTCGTATAATAACCAGACAGAATCATTCTCAGAAAGTGCTTTGTGATGTGTGCGTTCCACTCACAGAGTTTAACCTTTCTTTTCATAGAGGAGTTTGGAAACACACTGTTTGTAAAGTCTGCAAGTGGATATATGGACCTCTTTGAGGCCTTCGTTGGAAACGGGATTTCTTCATTGAATGCTAGACGGAAGAATTCTCAGTAAATTCTTTGTGTTGTGTGCATTCAACTCACAGAGTGGAACGTCCCTTTAGACAGAGCAGATTTGAAACACTCTTTTTGCGGAATTTGCAAGTGGAGATTTCTAGCCATTTGATGCCAACAGTAGAAAGGGAAATATCTTCAAATAAAAACCAGACAGAATCATTCTCAGAAAATTCTTTGTGATGTGTGCGTTCAACTCACATAGTTTAACCTTTCTTTTCATAGAGCAGTTTGGAAACACTCTGTTTGTAAAGTCTGCAAGTGGATCTATGGACCGCATTGAGGCCTTCGTTGGAAACGGGATTTCTTCATTTCATGCTAGACAGAAGAATTCTCAGTAACTTCTTTGTGCTGTGTGTATTCAACTCACAGAGTGGAACGTCCCTTTGCACAGAGCAGATTTGAAACACTCTTTTTGTGGAGTTTGCAAGTGGAGATTTCAAGCGATTTGATGCCAACAGTAGAAAAGGAAATATCTTCAAATAAAAACTAGACAGAATCATTCTCAGAAACTACTTTGTGATGTGTGCCTTCAACTCACAGAGTTTAACCTTTCTTTTCTTAGAGCAGTTTAGAAACACTCTGCTTGTTATGTCTGCAAGTGGATATTTGGACCTCTTTGAGGCCTTCGTTGCAAACGGGGTTTCTTCCTTTCATGCTAGACTAAGAAGAGTTCTCAGTAACTTTTTTGTGTTGTGTGTATTCAACTCACAGAGCTGAACCTTGCTTTAGAGAGAGCAGATTTGAAACACTCTTGCTGTGGCATTTTCAGGTGGAGATTTCAAGCGATTTGAGGACAATTGCAGAAAAGGAAATATCTTCGTATAACAACCAGACAGAATCATTCTCAGAAAGTGCTTTTTGATGTGTGCGTTCAACTCACAGAGTTTAACCTTTCTTTTCATAGAGGAGTTTGGAAACACACTGTTTGTAAAGTCTGCAATTGGATATATGGACCTGTTTGAGGCCTTCGTTTGAAACGGGATTTCTTCATTGAATGCTAGACGGAAGAATTCTCAGTAAATTCTTTGTGTGGTGTGCATTCAACTCACAGAGTGGAACGTCCCTTTAGACAGAGCAGATTTGAAACACTCTTTTTGCGGAATTTGCAAGTGGAGATTTCTAGCCATTTGATGCCAACAGTAGAAAGGGAAATATCTTCAAATAAAAACCAGACAGAATCATTCTCAGAAAATTCTTTGTGATGTGTGCGTTCAACTCACATAGTTTAACCTTTCTTTTCTTAGAGCAGTTTAGAAACACTCTGCTTGTTATGTCTGCAAGTGGATATTTGGACCTCTTTGAGGCCTTCGTTGCAAACGGGGTTTCTTCCTTTCATGCTAGACTAAGAAGAGTTCTCAGTAACTTTTTTGTGTTGTGTGTATTCAACTCACAGAGTTGAACCATGCTTTAGAGAGAGCAGATTTGAAACACTCTTGCTGTGGCATTTTCAGGTGGAGATTTCAAGCGATTTGAGGACAATTGCAGAAAAGGAAATATCTTCGTATAACAACCAGACAGAATCATTCTCAGAAAGTGCTTTGTGATGTGTGGGTTCAACTCACAGAGTTTAACCTTTCTTTTCATAGAGGAGTTTGGAAACACACTGTTTGTAAAGTCTGCAATTGGATATATGGACCTGTTTGAGGCCTTCGTTGGAAACGGGATTTCTTCATTGACTGCTAGACAGAAGAATTCTCAGTAAATTCTTTGTGTTGTGTGCATTCAACTCACAGAGTGGAACGTCCCTTTAGACAGAGCAGATTTGAAACACTCTTTTTGCGGAATTTGCAAGTGGAGATTTCTAGCCATTTGATGCCAACAGTAGAAAGGGAAATATCTTCAAATAAAAACCAGACAGAATCATTCTCAGAAAATTCTTTGTGATGTGTGCGTTCAACTCACATAGTTTAACCTTTCTTTTCATAGAGCAGTTTGGAAACACTCTGTTTGTAAAGTCTGCAAGTGGATATATGGACCGCATTGAGGCCTTCGTTGGAAACGGGATTTCTTCATTTCATGCTAGACAGAAGAATTCTCAGTAACTTCTTTGTGCTGTGTGTATTCAACTCACAGAGTGGAACATCCCTTTGCACAGAGCAGATTTGAAACACTCTTTTTGTGGAGTTTGCAAGTGGAGATTTCAAGCGATTAGATGCCAACAGTAGAAAAGGAAATATCTTCAAATAAAAACTAGACAGAATCATTCTCAGAAACTACTTTGTGATGTGTGCCTTCAACTCACAGAGTTTAACCTTTCTTTTCTTAGAGCAGTTTAGAAACACTCTGCTTGTTATGTCTGCAAGTGGATATTTGGACCTCTTTGAGGCCTTCGTTGCAAACGGGGTTTCTTCCTTTCATGCTAGACTAAGAAGAGTTCTCAGTAACTTTTTTGTGTTGTGTGTATTCAACTCACAGAGTTGAACCTTGCTTTAGAGAGAGCAGATTTGAAACACTCTTGCTGTGGCATTTTCAGGTGGAGATTTCAAGCGATTTGAGGACAATTGCAGAAAAGGAAATATCTTCGTATAATAACCAGACAGAATCATTCTCAGAAAGTGCTTTGTGATGTGTGCGTTCAACTCACAGAGTTTAACCTTTCTTTTCATAGAGGAGTTTGGAAACACACTGTTTGTAAAGTCTGCAATTGGATATATGGACCTGTTTGAGGCCTTCGTTGGAAACGGGATTTCTTCATTGAATGCTAGACGGATATCACCCCTGAATTATTTCGGTCTTGATCAGTTACTTGTTTCTTGTCTGACTCACACATTAGAATGGAAGCTCCATGGGCTAGGGTCTCGCCTGCTTTTCCCCACAGCATCCCTAGCAGCCAGAATGCTGCCTGGTGCACATACTTGTCGAGCGAGTAGATGAATAGCAAAACTGGTGTTTTCCTGTGAAAGGGTCTCCTAGCTCAACTGCAGTTAGGAAGGAGAAGCAGGTACATATTACTAAATTCTCCTTAAATAGCCTACAAAACAGGGTGGGGGTGGGGGATGGGGGGGCACAAAGAATTTACTGAGAATTCTTC